>NC_000002.12:17055209-17206725 GCF_000001405.40 Homo sapiens
TCAGTTTAACTTACTAAGTACAATAATTCTAAATAAAATGTTTTCAATCTAAATCCAACAGCATATTAGAAGCATAACATATCAAACTTGAGAATTTATTTCAGGAATAAAACCATGGTTTACCAACAGAAAAAGCTATAAGCATAATACCTTACTTTAAAAAAAAACCCATATGATTAATAGATATTGAAAAGTCACTTGATAGAATCTAGCAGTCTTTTCTTTGAATAAGTTAGCTCAAAGGTCAACAATTTGCAATTATTAGTAGTGAACATTGACATAAATAGTGAAATAATAAAGCTACTCCCATTGAAATCTTAAATAAGACAAACAACTTTGGCATCACTACATATAGTCTATAGTTTTGATGTCTCTAGTTCATAGAGCCAGAGAGGAAAGTTTAAATTAAATAATCAGTATAAATATAACGAAACACAAAATGTATTTTCAGATGCTGTGATTACATATCCAGAACAAAACAAATAATTTTAGTCAAAATAAAAAAAAATCTAATGGGGCGGTAATAGAATGTATATAAAAATGATGTTTTATGCAATAAATACACATAAATTCATTCATATTTTATTTAAACATATTTGAGCAGTTATTTTATGCCAGACATTATTTGGAGTGCTAGAAATTTAGAGGTGAATAGAAGCTTCTATTCTAATGGGAGAGAAATAGATAATAAACAAGTTTTGTAAATCAGTAAAATGTTAGATGGTGAACACTGTGATGAAATTAAAACAGGGTTGGAAAATAGGCAGAGAGAAACACAGGAGGAGCCCTGTCAATTGGATAGCCATGGAAGACTCAGCAAAGAGATGCCACTTAGAATAAGATACGTTGTCAAAATTCTACAGCTTTTATTCTTAAGAATAACAAATTCAAAATGATAAAAAAGGGAAAAAAGTCACTTTACAGTGGCCAAAGCTCTAAAACATACCTAGGTCAAATTTTAACAAAGATGTATAAGATCTACAAGAAGAAAGCTATGTTTTATGTAGAAGGACATAAAACAAGACTGAAACAAATGGAGCAGCATGCAATATTTTTGGATGGAAAGATTTAATACTGTAATAATATCAATATTTCTATTATTAATATATCGAGACAGCCAAATATAAAGAGGTCACCAGAGAATCTCCAATGGGCCTGAGCACTGGGAGGAGTGCCTACTGGGCTGGAGCCTTGGGAAGTTCATGTCATTTGCATTGGGGAGGAGACTGGCCTCTCCTCTCCTGCTGCAGGGTGGAACCTGGGATTCAATCTGTGAGGCAGGAAGCAGACTAGCAGGGCTTTTGCTTTGCTGAGAGACCCTGTTCCCCTTTTTCACTTTTTTGCCCAATAAATCCCATTTTTCTCAACCTTCGAAATGTCTGCGAGTCTAATCTCTCATGGTCATGTGACAAGGACCCCGTTTTTAGCTGCACTAAGGAGAAAGTCCTACAACAATATGAAGTTAATGCACACATTGGTGTGCCGTTCCCAAGGTAAAAGGAGAAGTGAAGAAAGAAAATTTTCTTGTACATAGCTTGGGGAGCTGAGAACATTAGGAGGAAAGATGAAGAATTTGAAGTTAGACATGTTGGGTTTGCCATGTCTGTGGGACATTTGGATACAGATGCACAGAGGAAGGTTGAATTTTTGAGCCTGAAGCATAAGACAAGTTTGCCTTGGAAATCTCTATTACTGACTTATTTGCAACTAGCACAGAACCTGAGTTTTTTAAAAACTGGCTCTCAGTAAATGTCAGTACACAAATTTGAGTGCCCACTTAAACGTGATTTACCCTTGTTAAACTTTCCTCTAGGGGATGGTAAATTGCAAATAAGTAGGAATTTTGTTTTAGGACGCTAGAAAAAAATTCTATTGATATGAGTGTTTATGGAGCAAGAGTTTTTGTTTTCTGCTTTTCTAATTGATGTACATCTTGACATTTAATAATCTGCTTCTAAACTGCACGTCCATGTGTTCTGTTGGAATGATCAGTGGACTTCCAAGTGCACACTGTTACCCTTTTATTGATGCACTCAAAAATATTTACTCAGAGCTGCTGACCTCCTGCAATGTGGAGGTGTATCTCACTTATTCATACCGTATACATATGCATGAGGTCATAAGACAATGGGAATGAGAAACTAAGCCCCAGGGAATCTAAGCAACTTTGTACTTGATGCCTGTTAGGAGCTCACATCCTAATCTCCTTGCACTTTCCATTACACCAAAGTACATTTGTTTCTTTTTCAATGGCTTAGAAAGTCTCATCTGCCCTCTGATAGCATTAGCCACAAATAGAAGCAAGTATTCAAGACCTTAAAGAAACCAGGAAGGTATTTTGCATATTTAAGTCAGAGGAGACATAGAAAGCCAGTGAAAGCACCTGCTAGAAATTTGGATAGATCTAAGTGAAATTGAGAAGACCAGTGCCTGGCCAAAAAAAAATCTATGTATGATTTTTCGGGCTTGACTCTAGGCAGTTACAAAGGCTTTACCTGTCAGGTCAGAAGGGGGAAACTGCCCTCCCCACACCAGACTTGATACACAGCCAGTACATCACAGTCCCTGAGAGGTATTGCAGTCAAGGACTCAGGCCCCTCTGGCCAGCCTTGCTTCCACTCATGTTTGCATTCACAGTGTGCCGACACCACCATAGTTATTGATTAAAGTTGACTGCTGCTTTCATTTTTGTCTTGTTGCTTTAGTTGACTACTCTGACACCTGGTTGCTCAGCTCTCTTTCCAGCTCAGCTGAGCCCTGGATGGAAATCACACCTAAAACTCGGTTAGGAAAATGTGCTGAATTCAGAGATTGGAGAATCCCTGGGATCTGGGACTTGTAGTGGGGCCTGAGAGAACAGGTTTTCTTTTGATTTGGAATCTTGTAACATGAGTGAGTAACACTATCAAAGCTAGATTAGGTGTGGGAAAATATTTTCCAAATACTCTCATTATCAAGAGGGAAACTGACATGCAGAGTGGTGACAACTGACTTAAAGTAATGCATGAGGTAGTGGCAGAGACAGGAGAAATCCTGCACAGAGCACCATGCTCACGCTTTGTCTTGGGGAAGGAGCCTGGCCTTTTGAGGGGAATGGAGTGGGCGAGAGCTTGAATTCTGACTTGACAGACGTCTTCACCACTACTGTGATCTCTCTCTTTTGGGCCTGTTAGTTGTCTATCTCCTGATGAAAGTCTGCTTGAGAAATACAGGTATGTCCTGACCAGCACCAAATACAGAGGGCCTGCATTGACTCTTTACTTGAAGACAGGCTCAGCATTAGCACATTCTAGACCATTGGTTGTCAACTGGAGGTGACTGTGCCCTTACAGGACTTCTGGAAATGTCTGGAGATGTGTTGGGTTGTTTTGACTTTGGAAGGGCTGCCACAGGCATCCAGAGGGTGAAGACCGGGATGCTGATAAAGCTTCTCCAGTACACAGGACAGCCTCCCATAATAAATAACTATTCAGTGCTGAATGCAATAGCAGCAAGGTTGAGAAGCCCTGTTCTATACCATTCCAGATCAAGAATCCACAAATGCATGGTCTTTGAAAGTCCCCCTTTTTTTCTCTGTGCCTCAGTATATCTATCTTTAAATGGCTGGACAGGCTTATTTCTGAAAGTACTTCCCATTCTATTGCACTGTAATTGTAGCTATATGTTCAAAAATTAAGAATTGTTTAGTGTTCTTGAAAACTATTTTTCAAAATTGTATTTCCTGCTTTAAAAATATAGTGTGATTCTTTGCTGATTAAGCAATCCTTTGAGCAGGACAAAAGGAGGTAATCAGTACTTCATCCACCCATTTGTTTATGTCACAGATGTTAATCCAGCCCCAACTCTGACAGGGAGCCACTGACTTGAAGAGACCCACCTCAGTCACAAAGAATCTTACCAGCTGTTCCAGCCTACCTGCCTTGCTCCTTCGGCTCCTTTATTTCCATGCCCTGATTCAGCAGAGAAGGACTTTCACTTCGCGGGAATGTATGACTGTCAAAGTGTGAGGCAGCTAACTGCTGAGAGAAAGTGTTGACAGGCCCTTGGGAGCTTACTTGCTCAGCAGGACCCTGCTAAGTGCTGGTGGTAACAAAAGGCATTCTCCAAGCCTCTTTGAAGAGAAGTATGAAAGACTATAAAAAGAAAAAAAAACAGAGTGCCATGGGGCCATTTCTGGAGACCCAGTCTAGTGCAGACATTGGGAAGGAAACAGGTGAGAGGAAGGAAAAGCAGAGGAAGACAACTGAGAGTTTACATCATGTTTTTTCCATGCATCTAGCTATTATTCTTTTATCTTTCTGTATGCAAGAAAAAGTTAAGTGTTAAGGATCCCATTCAAGTTCCCTTCCTGCTCTTCAATGCAGCCCTAACCAGTTCACTGAATGAGAGGATCATTTAGACAGCTGGTCTAAGGCAAAAATAAAGCTTAGAGAGACACATAACTTTTGCGCTAGTCACAGCTGGGCAACCCTAACAGGTGTTCCCTTCATGCACCATGACATGGAGATGACTTTGAATCTTTGCCAATTGTGTGGTATTTTTTTTTTTAATCAAAAATGAGTCTCATTGAAGCTGGATGTCTTTTAAATTGTGCTATGTATCATCATCATCTATGGGCCATTTCTAAATATCTGAGCACCAAATGTGTATGAGGAACAGGAAGAAACAAATGAAAAGGAAAAAAGGAAGAAAGGAAGGGAGGCGAGAAGGAAAGTAGGAAGAAAGGAAGGGAGGATAAAGGAAAGAAGGAATTTTCTAAGCTGCCACACTGCATACTCAAGAAACTCTGAGTCCTCAAATGAGATGTTAATGTAGAGTGTTTTGGAAGAAACACTGTTTTTTGATGGCAAATAAGATTTCTCAGAGCAGCCAAATACGTAGAAGCAGCTGTGAGATCTCTCCTATGCAATAGTGCCAACCTGACATTAACCTAAGTCTGTGGAAGAGGTCTCCAATTAGGCAGAGCCAGGCTGCACAACTAGTAGGTCATCTGAAAATGGAGATGAGAATGAAACAATGTTGGAACACTGACAGGCAAGCTCTGGCCTTTCTATTGAGAAGGTGGATGGCAAAAACAACAGATTCCCACTCCATGCTTCAAGCATATTCAAACTGGTTTTTCCAAACCTCCAGGGAATATAGGAGGGGGCAGAAATGTCTATCCCTAGCAGTTTAGACAGTACTTTGTAAGTAAGTGGAAAATAAATATTGAATAAAAAGCAATATTTAATACAAACTGAGATTTGCTTAAGTTTTGGCAACTGATTAAAAACAGAAGTGGGACTAAAACTTTGCTTTCCAAACTAATGATTTCCTGCACCCCAAACAATAATGATTCTAATCACCACCAGTACCACCAGGCAGGTCCAAATTATTATAATACCATGCTTCTTAGAGGACAAACAGCTACAGAAACCACCAACACAAAGATTCATTCTAACACGAAGAGTGTTCTTTAAAGAAAATGCAGATTTTTGCATATATTTTTAAAATTAATTAATTTTTTTAATCACCACAAGAGAAAACAAAAAGTTTAGCCTAGTATGTGGTCTGATGTTAAAAAAGACAACATTGTAACTGGCTCTGCAGGGCCATCTTATTTGGTTACAGAGTAGTGAAGGGTAAAAGAAGTCACTCCAAGGTGAGGCATACCTTTGGGTTATAAAGAGAAGCCTCACTCACCTGAACAGGGTTTGTCTTCTTTCCCCATGTGCAATCCTGAAATTAGCTACCCTAAAAAATATCCTTGGTGAACCAAGAGTAGTAATAATTATTAAAAATTATAATTATGCAATTATAAGATGAGCTGAAAAGAGAAAAACAGGTAAAATATAGGAGATGAAGTAATCTCACCAGAAAGTATACTGTGACAAAGTTGATGAAAAATTTAACCCATGTATCACTGTAGATTAGAAAATTGAAACAATCATGTCCATGGTACAAGAATACAATCAGAGCTATCTGAGCTTAGGGAGGTTTTTGACATGCAAATAGAAAGAGATAAATCATGAGCTGACAGAGCCCAGGGAAAGTCAACATGTGAGCAGTTGGAAGGGACCCAAAATGGAGAAGAAGAGGCTGAACATTCCACAAGGGACATAAGAACCAAAATGATGAATGCGAACAGTACGGAATTTTTAAAAACATAAAGAAATAATATCTGTATAAAAAAGGAAAAATACATCCCAACTATGCCAATCAATAGTCTCCAATTGCTTAAAATCACCAAAAAGACAAATAGATTATAGGACAAAAAGGTAAACTAAGTCAAAATAGGTTTTCAGGAATAAAAGAATACTTAAATGTACAGATTGAAGACACTGGACATCAGACAATGAAAGATGATCAATGGGACATGAGAAATAAAGGATGTGAGCCCTAGGATTACCTAAATCATTGCCTTAAGAGAGTTTCCAGACCATAGATCAGGATGTGTGTACTTATTGAGTTGAGGAGGTGAAGCCCTGTGTACTTTGAGTTGAGGAGGTGAAGCCCTGTGTACTTCTTGAGTTAAGGAGGTGAAACTGATGCTTTGGGGAGAGCAAGGTGGTTAGAGTTCATTGGGTAGAGTGCTGAAAAGGAGAGAGCTGCACGCAAAGAACCTTGAAGATCTGCAGAGACCTCTTCTAATATATAGCAAAGTACAGATCAGTGCGTGCATATGAGGAAATGTCCCAAAGCCAGGGATAAAACCATCTGAAAGGATTACAGCAAACAGTGCCTCATGCTCACGGGATCAGAAACAGTACTTACTCTTACTAGCTAGACTGGACCACAGAGAGAAAAAGAAAAATTTTAGAATCTAAGAAAATAGAAGCTTTTCTAATAAAATATACATAATGAAAACTGGTTTCAGATGAGATAGCAAATCCAAATTCATCAATTATCATAAGAAATAGACAAAGTTACCAAAGACAGAGGCAGAAAAAATACTACATTTAAATGATTTCACAAGAAAATTTTGTCAAACTTTTAAAAGCAAGTATCTTCAGTACTTAAACTCTTCCAGAGCATTAAAAAAAAGAAATCTTGTAAATTCATTGCATGAATTTTGCATGACACTGATGCTAAAAATCTAGCAAAGATAATAAGAAAAAGAAAACTGAAGAAATAACACTTATGAATGTTGATGAAAAATAAATAAAATATTGACAATTAAACTATCGAAAGAATAATATACCATTGATGAAGTACTTATTCTAGAAATGCGATAGTTAGTTCAATATTAGCAAAACTATTAAAGTAATGCCATACACTTATAGACAAAAGAGAAAAATTAAGTAATCACCTACATGGGGGTTAAAAATAAATTTTAAAATTTATTATATATTCTTAATTTTAATAAACCCTTAATAAAAATGAATAAAAATTTGAGAGATTCCCTCCCCCCACTGTGTTACTTTCCTTTTGCTGTTGTAACAAATTATCACAAATCTCGTGGTTTAAAAAAACACAAATGCATTATCTTACAGTTCTGGAGGTCAGAACTCCAAAATGGGTGTTATGGGCTAAAATCAAGGTGTCAACAGGGCTGTGATCCCTTCGGTAGGCTCTAGGGTAGAGCTCATTTCCTGGCCTGTTTTCACTTCTGCCTCCCTCTGAGGACCCTCCTGCCTCCTTCTTACAAGGACCCTTGTGATAATATTATGCCCACCCAGCTAATCCAGGATGATCTCCTCATCTCAAAATCCTTAAAGTGACCACACCTACAAAGTCCTTTTTACCACATACAGTGACATATTCACAAGACTTGGATATTAGGACATGGACATTTTCAGGCAGAGACAGGTCATTATTCAGCCTATGATATCAGGAAAAGCTGCATATATCCTTAGCGCGCTCTCTCTCTCTCTCTCTCTCTCTATATATATATATATATACACATAGCATATATATACATATTTCTTTTATTTACCCCAACCATAATCCAATGAAGTTAAACCAGATATATCATCATTATCTAACTCAATTTAAGAAGTGCTAATTAATACAATTAGAAAAAAATAAATACAAATAAAAAACCTTCTGAAAAGGAGAAAAACGACCAACATTTTAGGTTGTGTTTGCTTATCTGCAAAACTTAAGAAACTGAAAAATATTAGTGTGATAAAAAGAAAATAATAAATTGACTGGATACAAAATTAATATTGCCATCATGTAAATAAATAACAACCAGCTGTGAGATAGTATAAAGTTAATAACGTTAAATAATGTTAACATTAACAACGTCACCTAAAAGGTATACTTGGGAATGCATGTAGATAGAAATATGCCACAGCTGCAAGGTTGATACTTCAGAACACTCTTGACAGACACAAAAGAAGACTTAAGCAAAGTCCATCATGTCCCAGGAGAGAAAGATTTACCATCATAAATATACTAATTTTTCCCTAATTTATCAATAAATTAAATTAATCCATATTAACAGGTATTTTTTTCTTTAGTAAATCATACATTTATGAAAAACATACTTAAGTCAGATTTTTTTAGGGATATGTTTTATGAGTTCTCATTTAAGAGTCTCAACAACCTGGAGAGGAGATATTCTAAACAATATTTTATTTTAAACTAAATAACCTGATCATAAAATTTACTTGGAGAGCAAAATAAGCAATAATAACAAGAAATATTCTGAGATAAAAGAGAAATAAGTAGGCATTAAATTAACCAGATATTTTAAATACTTTAAATCTGTAATAATTTAAATATGTTGGGCGGAGCACAGTGGTTCATGCCTGTAATCCCAGAACTTTGGGAGGCTGAGGTGGGTGGATCATTTGAGATCAGGAGTTCCAGACCAGCCTGGCCCACCTGGTGAAACTGCACCTCTACTAAAAATACAAAAATCAGCCAGGTGTGGCGGCAGGCGCCTACAGTCCCAGCTACTTGGGAGGCTGAGACAGAGGAATTGCTTGAACCCGGGAGCCGGAGTTTGCAGTGAGGCGAGATTGCACCACTGCACTCCAGCCTGGGTGACACAGCGAGACTCTATCTCAAAAAAATAAATAAATATGTCACATTTCATATTTAGATAGAGCAATAAAATACATTACACTAGAATATTCAGGAAGAAAATTTCTGATTCAAAATGATAATTCAGTATATAATCAATTTGTCATTTCACATCGCTAATTAATGAATGGCTTCTTTAATAAATGGCACTAGAACAATTAAAAATCAATCTGGAAAAAGTGAGTGGGATACATTCTTTATACCTTAAACTGAAATAAATCCCATAAATAATATGCATAATTATTTAAATTTATAAAATAAAACCACAAACATAATAGGAAAAAAAGCATGGATGATTGTTTATAATAATTTTGGAGTGGGGAAAGCCTTTCTAAGCATAACACAAATGCTAGAAACCATAACATAAAGGGATGATAATTGATCCAGTGGTGATGGGGTGGGTGGTAGGGTACCTCAGAGTAAAGATGGAACAATAGCAGCCATGAATTGTTGACTGCTGTAGATGGATAACAAGTATGTAAAAGTTTATTGTATATTTGTTTCTGCTCTTATGTTTTAAATTTGAATAACAGAAAGTTTTAAAAGGATGAAGAAGATGTTATATCCTATAAATGATTTCACCTAAAAGTACACTTTATTCTGTTGTGTCCAACAGATACAGCACATGACGCTTCTCATCAGGAAGACAGAATTTATGAGACCACACACTAGAGTAATAAAAGGAGAATTACATGCCTGTATGGAATATCACTAGATATTAAGTTGTATAACGAGAAGTCAGTTGGGATTAAACTGTATATTTGGTGACACCAAGCTGAGATAATTATACATTGTATGTGGCAATATGCAAGAAGTTATTTTAAGTGCAGAAAAAGAGTCTACTTTGTACTTGTCAATATAATCATATATATACTAATAAATCATTTTTGAAATAAAATGAGCTACAAAAAATTCAGAACATTTCTCATGGCAAAAAACAAAGTCAAAGGACAAATGGTAAACAAATAGGGAAATAAAGTAAGTGCCATCACAGGTTACCATGCAAAAGGTTCAAGATAAACACTGTATGCATCTTTTGGTGACCTGTTGGTAGATGGTCAGCAATTTCCATGAGTCCCTTTCTCTTAGCAACTGGAAGGATATATGCCTAGGTCAGATACTATAGGATTCTCTTTGGGGCCATGCTGAAGGAGAGGAGCTTTGCTTCCTTGATGCTGTCACTTTTTTTTTTTTTTTTTTTTTTGAGACAGAGCCTTGCTCTGTCGCCAGGCTGGAGTGCAATGGCAAGATCTCAGCTCACTGCAACCTCCGCCTCCCAGGTTCAAGCGATTCTCCTCCCTCAGCCTCCTGAGTAGCTGGGACTACAGGCACGCACCACCATGCCCAGCTAATTTTTGCATTTTTAGTAGAGGCGGAGTTTCACCATGTTGGCCAGGATGGTCTTAATCTCCTGACCTCATGATCTACCCGCCTGGGCCTCCTAAAGTGCTGGGATTACAGGCATGAGCCCCAGCGCCCGGCCACAGCTTTTTTAAGGAAAGCATGAGAACAACCCTGCAAGTCCAAGGAATGCAATCTGAGATTTAGTGCCAGCTGTGCAGCAGAGTTGTGTATCACTGCTGGATGTGCAAGCTGCTTCCATCTCTGAGTTATCTCATAGGAAATTGAGACTGAGCCCAACCTGCGCTGCTAAAAAGAGGGGGAGCCATTGGCTCATTACCAGGAAACCAGGAGAGATCTGCCAGGGTTACCCAAAAATGTTCTCTTTCCACACAGAGTTGATTGCATAACATATAAAAAGTTCTTATAAATCAATTTAAAAAGATAACACCGTATAAAATAGACGAAGTTTATGAACAGAAAGTTCATTAAAAAGGAAAAGACATAGGCATGGGCAAGGACTTCATGTCTAAAGCACCAAAAGCAATGGCAACAAAAGCCAAAATTCACAAATGGGATCTAATTAAACTAAAGAGCTTCTGCACAGCAAAAGAAACTACCATCAGAGTGAACAGGCAACCTACAAAATGGGAGAAAATTTTCGCAACCTACTCATCTGACAAAGGGCTAACATCCAGAATCTACAATGAACTCCAACAAATTTACAAGAAAAAAACAAACAACCCCATCAAAAAGTGGGCAAAGGATATGAACAGACACTTCTCAAAAGAAGACATTTATGCAGCCAAAAGACATATGAAAAGATGCTCAACATCACTGGCCATCAGAGAAATGCAAATCAAAACCACAATGAGATACCATCTCACACCAGTTAGAATGGCGATCATTAAAAATTCAGGAAACAACAGGTGCTGGAGAGGATGTGGAGAAATAGGAACACTTTTACACTGTTGGTGGGACTGTAAACTAGTTCAACCATTGTGGAATTCAGTGTGGCGATTCCTCAGGGATCTAGAACTAGAAATACCATTTGACCCAGCCATCCCATTACTGGGTATATACCCAAAGGACTATAAATCATGCTGCTATAAAGACACATGCACACGTATGTTTATTGCGGCACTATTCACAATAGCAAAGATTGGAACCAACCCAAATGTCCAACAATGATAGACTGGATTAAGAAAATGTGACACATATACACCATGGAATACTATGCAGCCATAAAAAAGGATGAGTTCACGTCCTTTGTAGGGACATGGATGAAATTGGAAATCATCATTCTCAGTAAACTATCTCAAGGACAAAAAAACAAACACCACATGTTCTCACTCATAGATGGGAATTGAACAATGAGAACACATGAACACAGGAAGGGGAACATCACACTCTGGGGACTGTTGTGGGGTGGGGGGAGGGGGAGGGATAGCATTAGGAGATATACCTAATGCTAAATGACGAGTTAATGGGTGCAGCACACCAGCATGGCACATGTATACATATGTAACTAACCTGCACATTGTGCACATGTACCCTAAAACTAAAAGTATACTAATAAAAAAAAAAAAGGAAAAGTACAAATGGCTCTGAAATCTGTGTAAAATTATTCATTCCTAGTAATAATTACACTGATGCTCACCTAAGGGAAAGAGAGGTGTGGAATTGGAGAGTGCTATATATGGAATTAAACTGTATCATTTATATTATACTTCTTTGGCCAGTAATGGATACAAGATTCTTGTTGAATTATTCTTTATACTTTTCCTTATGGTTAAATATCTCATGATAACATTTTACACAGGAAAATATTACAATAGATACATCCTGTATGCTAGTTATACAGGATGTTCACTGCTATATTTTTTAACTAGGAAAATATTGAAAATTTCAAAATGTCTTTCTTAGAGTGTTGTTTAAATAAATTATATTGCCTTCATTCAAAGGAATAATAGGCATTAACTTAAAAAGGATGTAGCAGTTTTTTAATAATAATGACTGATAAATAAATACAGAAGCATCAAAGAGAACCTTGCGTACAGAATGTTGTCATTCGTAAAACAAATAGAAAATATGTATATAAAAGTGTGTAGACACACACACACACCCCATCTTCTAGAACACCTACAAGAAACTAACAATGATTGCCTCTTGGAGGGAAGTAAACAGTGGAAAGACAGGAAAAGGAAAATAGAAACATAGTTTTTAATGTACAGTCTTTTGAACATTTTTAATTTTGTATCAATTGCATGTATTACCTATTCAGAAAGTAAATAAACTTTAATAAATAATAAATGAATGGAAGTATCATGAATACCCTATATGGCATACTCTGAGGACATTAAGTATAATATTCTACAAATATTTATCAAATGCCTACTATGAGCCTACTGTCGTAGGCAGTAGGGACACAGCAGATCTTACCTTCAAGTAACTTACTTTCTAATGATGGTAATATTTCTAAATATGTCACCTTCTCTCCTCATTCCAAAGTCTTCAGTGGATCCCCAGTCCCGTAGTCTCAAACGTAATCATATCAGTTGCTTGGAGACCCCATGACCTCACACTCCTTCCTTTTCCTTTATTTACTTCCTTTGTCAGCCTTTGATCCAGGGAAACCTGATGACTTGCTGCTCCCATTGTCTACCCAGACTTTGCTCATCTCATTTCCTCCAATTGATACCTAATTTATTTCAAATCTTTTCCAAATGCTTTATGGCCTAGTTCACAATCATGGCTTTTGTAAATACGGGCTTAACCGCTCTGAAAGTAAGCTTTTCTTTCTCTCCATTAGAAGTAGTTTAATTTCTTTTACTGCATGCTCTCTTTTTTTTATGTTTATAAAATTTATATGTGTTCATCCTCCTTGAGGATAGCTGTATCTATATCACAATTGATCAGCATGAAATCACCGGATCAATTAATACATGACCAAAATAATGACTAAATAGCTGAATTAATTAATGAAAAATTATAATAAAAGATAATGGTATTAAGGCATATCCGCCAAGTAAAAATTAGCCTTCAGCTAATACATGGCACTATCCCAAGGAAAGCTGAATATCTAAGAAATGTGTTAAATCTGATTGAGCAAAGGAAGTACTCCAAAGAAAATGAGGTAGAAGCAGAAAGCTTCAAATAGTCTGCCTTCACCCGCCTCCTAACCCTGAGCAATGAAAGTTCTCATCATCTGTAATTTTTTAAGCCGCAGGATTGTGTCTGTCACTCTGGCCCATGCATTAATTTTATTTTTAGAAATAATGAAGTATAATCCTAGTACCTTTTCTAAACTAAATTAGCATGTTTATTACTTTTAAGTAACACCTTTGAGCCACACATTATGCATTTATTTCAGCTGGAATGCTAAGCATAATATTCCTTTTAAACCAAAACCTAAAATAACTCATATTTTAGAGTATTTGGCTTACCATGTGGCATCTCAATTTGAGCTACCAAAGATCCTGTTAGATCCCATTGCCTCCTGCTTATAATAAATCATCAAATATCAGTACCTCCAGTGTTTCCTTGGCCTGAGATACAGTGTATTTTCTTGGTTGAAAGAGATTCAAGCTGGGAATTCTAGAATTGCTACACCCGTTTATGTTCCATATATTTCACAGTTACTCCCTGCGGCGTTTTCTTCTGTAGTGCTAACTGCATAAATCAGATTTATATTTGAAAATACAGTTGCTACACTGAAGAACCTATTATTTTAAACCTCTCTTTTTAAAGTAAGCGTGACCCTTATAACTCTTTTGGTGAATTCAAGAGTGCTAGCACAACTTTAGGGAAACTACAGAATTGAAAATCTGACTTTGCTTATCATCTAATCTTTTTCCTTCATGCTGCTGTCACTTTCTTAAAACCTTTCTCTCTCTCTTTCTCTCTCTAATTTGATTGATTGATAAAATACGCATAGAAAAAAAGAGCATACACACAATGAATGTCTCAAACTGCACTCACATAAATCAAGAAATAGTAACGAGTTTCTCAGAAGTCAACCTTGTACTTTCTTTCTGTCATTACTTTATCTCAAAGGTAATCTCTATTTTGGATTTTTAAAAAATCCATTACTGTTGCTTATTTCTGTTGAAATAAATTAAATAACGCAATAGGTTCTTGCTTATGTCTGACTCATTTCAAGACTATTTGTCGGATTCTTCTTGTTGGGTGAGCTGTAGTTATTCATCCTAATTGTTGTAAAATATTCTACTAAATAAAATATATCACCATTGTATTAATCAGGGTTCCCTAGAGGGACAGGACTACTAGTATACACGTATATATGAAAGGGAGTTTATTAAGGAGTATTGACTCACACAAACACAAGAAGAAGTCCTACAATAGGCCGTCTGCAAGCTGAGGAGCAAGGAAGCCAGTCTGAGTCCCAAGCCTCAAAAGTAGGGAAGCCGACAGTGCAATCTTTGGTCTGTGGCCAAGGGCCAGACAGCCCCTGGCAAACCACTGGTATAAGCCCAAGAGTCCAAAAGCTGAAGAACTTGGAGTCTGCTGTTCGAGGGCAGGAAGCACCCCACATAGGAGAAAGATGGAGGCCAGAAGACTTAGCCAGTCTAGTCCTTCCACGTTCCTCTGCCTGCTTTTATCCTGGCTGCACTGACAGCTGATTAGATGGTGTCCACCCAGACTGAGGGTGGTTCTCTGTCTCCCAGTTCACAGACTCCAATGTTAATATTCTTTGACGACACCCTCACAGACACAATCAAGTGTCCAATCAAGTTGACACTCAATATTAACCATCACAAGTAAATTGGTACCTGGTAGGGGGTCACCACTATATAGATACCCAAAAATGTAAAAGCAACTTTGGAATTAGATAACAGGCAGAGCCTGGAACAGTTTGGAGGGCTCAGATGACAGGAAGATGTGGGAAAGTTTGGAACATCCTAGAGACCTGTTGAGTGGCTTTGACCAAAATGCTGATAGTGATGTGGACAATAAAGTCCAGGCCAAGGTGGTTTCAGATAGAAGTAAGAAAATTGTTGGGAGCTGGAGTAAATGTTACTCTTGCTATACAAAAAGACTGGCAACATTTTGCCCCTGCCCTAGAGATCTGTGGATGTTTGACCGTGAGATATATAATTTAGGGTATCTGGTGGAAGAAATTTCTAAGCAGCAAAGCATTCAAGAGGTGATACAGCATAAAAGGTTGAAAAACTTGCAGCCTAACAGTGCAGTAGAAAAGAAAAACCCATTTTCTGGAAAGAAATTCAAGCTGGCTGCAAAAATTTGCATAACTAAGCAGAAGCCAAATGCTAGTCACCAAGACAATGGGGACAATGTCTCCAGGGCATGTCAGAGACCTTCCCAGCAAGCCCCTCCCATCACAGGCCTAGAGGCCTAGGAGGAAAACATGGCTTCCTGGGCCAGGCCCAGTGTACTCCTGCTGTGTGCAGCCTAGGGACTTGGTACCTTGCATCCAAACCATGGCTAAAAGGGGCCCATGTAGAGCTCAGGCAGTTGCTTCAGAGGGTGCAAGCCCCAAGCCTTGGTAGCTTACACTTGGTGTTGGGTCTGCAGGTGCACGGAAGTGAAGAATTGAGATTTGGGAAAATCTGCCTAGATTTGAAAAACTCTGCCAGTGCAGCTAGGATAAAAGCAGGCAGAGGAACCTAGGTTTTAGAGGGTGTATGGAAATGCCAGAGGATGTATGGTTGTCCAGGCAGAGGTGGACTGCAGATGTGCAGCCCTCATTGAGAACCTCTGCTAGGGCAGTGAGGAAGGGAAATGTGGGATATGAGTCCTTACACAGAGTCCCTACTGGGGCACTGCCTAATGGATCTGTGAGGAGAGGGTCACTGTCTGTCTTCTAGACCCTAGAATGGTAGAGCTGCCAACAGCTTACACCATGCACCTGAAAAAGCCACAGACACTCAATGCTATCCTGCAAAGGCACCCAGGAGGGAACTTGTACCCTGCCAAGCCACAGAAGTAGAGCTGCCCAAGGCTGTGGGAGCCCACCTCTTGCATCAGTGTGAACTGGATGTAAGACATGGAGTCAAAGAAGATCATTTTGGAACTTTAAGGATTAATGACTGCTCTGTTGGATTTCAGACTTACATGGGGCCTGTAGCCCTTTCGTTTTGGACAATGTCTTCCATTTGGAATGGATGTATTTACCCAATGCCTTTAGCCTCATTGTATTTAGGAAGTAACTAACTTGCATTTGATTTTACAGGCTCATAGGCAGAAGGGACTTGCCTTGTCTCAGATGAGACGTTGGACTGTGGACTTTTGAGTTAATGCTGAAATGAGTTAAGACTTTCGGGGACTGTTGGGAAGGCATGATTGTGTTCTGAAATGTTAGAACATGAGATTTGGGAGGAGCCAGGGCAGAATGATATTGTTTGGCTGTGTTCCCACCCAAATCTCAAATTGTAGCTCGCATCATTTCTACGTGTTGTGGGAGGGACCTGGTGGGAGGTAACTGAATCATGAGGCCAAGTCTTTCTTGTGCTGTTCTCGTGATAGTGAATAAGTCTCAAGAGAGATGATGGTTTTATAAAGGGGAGTTCCCCTGCACATGCTCTCTTTCTTGCCTGCCACCATGAAAGACATGACTTTGCCCCTCCTTTGCCTTCCATCATGATTGTGAGGCCTCCCAAGCCATGTGGAACTGTGAGTCAATTAAACCTCTTTTCTTTATAAATTACCCAATCTTGGGTATGTCTTTATTAGCAGTGTGGGAATGGAATAATACAACCATTTATTTTTCTATTCTACTCTTGATGAGTATTTGTCTCCAGTTTGAGACTAAGTGTGGCTATGAGCATTCTAGAAGATGTCTTTTGGTAAAATTTGTACAAATTTCTTGTTCATGATGTATACTTATGTTTAGCTTGAGTAGGTGTAGCCAAACAGTTCTGTTAGCATCAGATTCCCACCAGCAATATCTAGAAGATTCAGTTACTCCAACTGTTTGCCGTCACTTGCCATTTTACATCTTTTTCATTTTAACCATTCTATTGAGTGTGTAGTAGCAAGCCAGTGTGATTTTTAACTTGCATTGTTATGCTGACTAATGAAAGTAAGCACCTTTTCATTGGTTTATTGGTCATTTGGATACCATCTTTCATGGAGTATTCATTTTAGGTCTCTAGCCATTTTTAAAAATTATGCTGTCAATCATTTTATTATTTATTTCTAGGGATTCTATATATATATATTCCTAGAAATAAATATTTACAGTACACGTATTCAATAAAGAACTTACATGTTGTGTGTGTGTGTGTGTACACAAGTTTATATATATATAAAACATATAAGTTATATTATGCATATATGCATGACCATAGCTATGGACTGAATGCTTGTGTTCCTTCAAAATGTATATATTGAAACCCTAATTCCCAGTGTCATAGCAGTTGGAGGGGTGCCCTTTGGGGAGTAATTAGGGTTAGGTTAGGTCATGAGGATGGGATTCTCATGATGCAATTAATGCCCTTACAAAAGTGACACAGATATTTATCTTTCCACCATGTGAGCATACAAAAAGAAGATATCTACCTGCAAACCACAAAGTAGGCCTTCACCAGAAATTAGATCTGCTGGTACCTTGATCTTGGACTCTCCAGCCTCCAGCACAGTGAGAAATAAATGTTTGTTGTTTAAGCCACCTGATCTATGGTATTTTTGTTATAGCAGCCTGAACTTCCTGAGAAAGAAATTGGTACTGAGAAGTGGGGTGCTGTTGTAGCATATACTTAAAAATGTGGAAGCAGTCTTAGAACTGGGTAATGGGTAGAATATGGGAGAGTTCTGAGGTACATGCAAGAAAAAGCTGTGGTTGCTGTGAGGATATTTTTTAAAGCAATTCTAATGAGAGGTCAGAAATAAAAGTTTAGAACTAGAGAGGAAGCCTTCAATTTCTTAGAGAATAATAAATAACCATAAACAGAATGTTGGTTGAAATGGGGATGGTAACAGCCCTTCTCATCAGGTTTCACATGGAAATGAGAAACATGTTATTGCAAGCTGAAGGATATATGATCTTTTTTATCATAAAGTGGCAAATAACTTGGTTTAATTGTGCTTGTGTTCCAGTGTTTTGAGGAAGGTAGAACTTGCAAGTGATAAAATTCGATATTTAGTTTAGGAGATTTCTAAGCAAAGTGTTGAAGAAGAAGCTTGGCTGCTGCTTATATAACATATGATAAGAGAGAAACAAATTGAGAAGAAATTGTTATGCAAAAAAGGAAGCAGAATTTAAAGATTTGGAAAATTCTTAGCCTGTCCATATCATAAAAAATAGTTTTTAAAATGTTTTTTAAAGAGAAAACTAATGATGTTATGGCCCCTCCATCTGATTAGTATAGGTGTGTACCACAGACCTAATCAGATAAGATTAGTATAGGTGTGAACCACAGACCTAATCAGACACCCAGCTGAAATGCTGTAGTTTAAACCGAAGAGGTCAGATATGGGACAGAATGAAAGCAGACTGATGGACTTGGATTTTATACGACAAGACCATAGACCTATTTGGCTGCTAATGTGTGCTATTTTTCAAGACATGGGAAGAATAACCCCCAAACCCCAAAGGTGATTCCAAGATCATTTATGTTGCTCTATTGGTTTCAAAAGGTGGGCCATTGCTTCACTTTTACCAAGCCAGAGGGCATTTATCAAAAGCCTTGAGGGTGGGGCCTCCTGAATCCTTGGTGATGGGGCCACTCAGCACCCTGTGAGCATCACCCCCACCCAGCAGAGCTACAGGGGCAAGACTGCCATCATAGTGGGTCCAGAAGTCAGAGCATCTGGCCAATAGGATCATTCTCAAGACAAGATTTTATGGAGTTTGTCTCACTAGGTTTTCTACTTGCTTAGAACCCATCACTCCTTCCTGCTTTTCTATGCCTCCCTTTTGGCATGGGAATGTCTATTCTATGCCTTTTTCATCATTGTAATTTGGAAGAATATGACTTTTTTGGTTTTACATGTTCATAGATGGAGAGAAATTTTTCCTCGGGATGAACTGTATGTACCTGGAGTCTCACTCATATCTTATTAAAATGATACTTAGGTGATACTTTGGATTTTAGACTTTAGATTTGATGTTGGAACAAATTAAGACTTCAAGGGCTGTTGCAATAGAATGAATGTGCTTTGTATAATGTATGAGAAGGACATGAATTTTGAGAGCAGTGGCAAAATACTGTGAACTCAATTTTGATGTTTCCGCCCAAATTTGTATGTTGAAACACTAATCCCCAATGTGATGATATTTAGAGGTAGGCCCCCTTTTGGAGTAATTAGAGTTAGATTAGGTCATGGGAGCCCTCATGATGAGATTAATATTCTTATTATTATTAATGCTCTTTTTACTAGGAAGAGATATTAAATCTTTCTCTTTCCCCCATATTAGAACACAAAGAGAAGACAGTCATCTACAAACCAGGAAGAGTGCCCTCACCTAGATCTGCCAGGGCTTTGATCTTGGACTCCCAACTTCTATAAATGTTAGAATAAATGTTTGTTTCTTAAGCCACCCAGTGCATGGTATTTTTGTTATAGTAGCCCAAACTGACTGAGATAGCTTCTAAACATTGCCAGGTCATAGTTTGTAGCACACGTGACTTACAAGCTAAGTCCAAAATAATGCAAAGAGTTTCACACACTTTTCAATGGTTGAAATACAGGCTTGAATATTGCCGTAATGTTAAATCACTATAAAAGTTTCTAAACATTTACTGTTACTTTTTGTACTTACCACTAAGTGTTAGTAAACAAAATCACGGACATACTTTGAGTTGCAATGGTACAGAGGTCTTGTACATCTTTCATTAGATTTTTTGGTATTGACTTTTTTATATTTAATAATAGATTTCATTTAACTCAATAGTAAAAAATATGATTTCAACAGGTATTCAACATAAACATTATCAAGAAATTTTCCATCCTTTCATTTTGTATGAAGCCTTCAATTCCATGTATATTTTATGCTTACAGCACATCTCAATTTAGATGCTAAATTTTCATTAGAAACACTGGATGTGTATTTACATTTTATAAAATATAAAGCTTAAAAAGTGGATTCACATATGCAACCTGTTTCAAATATACTTAAATACTTACTTTAATTAAATTTAAATTCTCATTAATTCCTCACTTGCATTAGGCAGGTTTCAAGTCCTCAATAGCCACTTGTGACTTAAACTATCAATGTCACTCTTCACATAACTAGAAAAAAACTAATTTTAAAATTCATATAGAACCAGAAAAAGAGCCCGAATAGCCAAGGCAATCCTAAGCTAAAAGAACAAAGCTGGAGGCATCACAATACCCAACTTCAAACTATCCCAACAACGTGAGTTGGTCTGAAGGGGTGAGACAGTGAAATGAATGCTGTTTTCTGGTTTTAAACGCTCTATTTCCCTCCATGGACAACAAATTCCTACTTTCCCCACCCAACCCTCCATCACCCTTTCCCTCTGGAATCTCCTCTCTCTCTCTCTCTCTCCTTATCACAAAGTCAGGTACATATGTGATCTGCATCCAACGAAGTCTTGTGGGGTTTTTTTTCCTTCATCTCTGATGGATAAAACAATTTTAACATTGCAAATAAAATTTTGACTTGTCCTGAAATGAACTGTCATTCTCAAGACTCAATATCCAGAAAAGCCTCAGGATAACTATTTCTTTTATTTATAAAATCTTAAAATGTTAGCTCTAGGAGCATCCTAAGTCATTCATCAGGAAAAAAATGAATAAATATATTTGAATAAATGTGCAAATTCACTAAAATTCCACAATTAGAACAACAAAATTGATTTTTATTAAGCTCCTTGACTACAGATGGTTGCATAAGCTCCAAGACTTCAGTGCCTTCTTGTATTAAATTGAGAAAAAATATTAATACTACTTAACAGGGTTTTATAAATAATAAGCGATATAATGCCTATGAACTATTATACAATAACTGGTGCATAGTATACATGCAACAGATAGCTCTTATTTACAAGGTATTACATTTTATTATGGATAAAAATAATGTATGTTATCACCCTTTGCCCTGTGTCTTCCCCTCACCCTCTAGCAAGGCTCTTCTGTCAATGCCTTTTACACATGGCTGTGATTCAGTCACTCTGTTTCCTCCCAAGGAGCTAGTAATTACAGACTGGCTCTCCAGGGAATGGTAAGCATGATCTCTGGGAGGGGCATTCATGGCCTCACGGAGCTATGGGCAGAGACTCCACCCGGAACTCCAGACTAGGCCACTGTTTCATTTGCTAATATGAAACACCAGCAGTACCATCAGTACATCCAGCAGACACATCCTAAAGACAATCTGAGCTTTAACTGTATGTTTTTATTGAGCTGCTTCTGTGTATTCATGTCTGGTATGCACATCTTTTGGACAATAACTAAAAAAAAATATTAATTTTCACACTGGCTCACAAGGAGCATAGGCCAGAAAAGAATTAGTCAACAAGATAAAGATGCAAGCATTTTAGTTTTAAGAGATTTGATTTATTCATGATCTTTTTTGACTCTTTCTTCTTTTATCTACAGCACAAATGAACTGTTCTTGAACTCTTAATAAATTTAACTCCAGTAAAAACATTGCAAAGCCCTCACTCTATCCTGTATAATCCACAGGAAACAAACTACGCATTTTTGGCATGTTCTGTAAACTGTTATTCTGCCCAGTGACTTGGGGACACTGAGAAATTACTGAAGCACTGAGTCTGCAAGAGAATCACTGAAGGAACCAGAGAGTTAGGCCAGCTGACCGCACACCACCTGTATCAGCACAATGCTGCTGTTTACTACTTATCAGCTGGTTTTCAGCAACTCTAACTCAGAGCCTACAATGGTCACTTAAATTGCTCAGCCATACTTTACTGTAATTGTGTATGGGAAATTACAAGTTTTCAATTTGGAAATTAGAAACGTATTTGTAAAAACAATACCTAAGACAAGTAAAAATTATATTTAAATCCATAGTGACAACATGAAGTTGATAGCTGTTTGTTTCTCCTCAGTATTTGGCAAGAAACAAATGATACTTACCGTCAGTGAAATGAATCTTTGCTTTATTAGAATACATGGGCTCTGTCACCCTGTCCTTATGCTTTTAGTACACACTCATGCAAGTCTGGATGGGTGTAAATCAGTGTCATTCTATACAGAGCTACTGGAGAAGCAGATGCAATTAATAAGCTTTTTTTCTTTTTCTTTTTCTTTTTTTTTTTCTTTTTTTTTGAGATGGAGTCTCGCTCCATTGTCCAGGCTGGAGTACAATGGTGCAATCTCTGCTCACTGCAACTGCTTCCACCTGGGTTCAAGAGAGTCTCCTGCCTCAGCCTCCTGAGTAGCTGAGATTACAGGTGCCCACCACTACGCCTGGCTAATTTTTGTGTTTTTAGTAGAGACAGGATTTCACCATGTTGCTCAGGCTGGTCTCGAACTGCTGACCTAGTGATCTGTCCGTCTTGGCTTCCCAAAGTGCTGGTATTACAGGCTGAGCCACTGTGCCTGGTCCTTTTTTCTATTTTTTTAAAGACACTTTCAGCATGTCACTTCCAACTCAAAAACTTTCAAAGATTTCTTATTTTCAAACTTCTTAGCTTGGTACTCCAGATCTTCAGTATGTGAATCTACTACATCTTGTGTTTTCTGTTACAGTTCTGCAAAGAACTCTCTATTCAAGCAACACATATCAATTCTTGCTCCCTGAAACCTACTACTTCCATCTCAAAATTTAAGTTTCACGCAAATGATTACATGTACTCAGAAGTTACACCTTTTATTTCTCCTAAACCTTTAAACATCTATGCTGTTCCAAAAATTTCTCAGAACATCAGATATGGTTTGGCTGTGTCCTCACTCAAATCTCATCTTGAATTGTAGTTCCAACAATCCCCATGTATTGTGGGAGGAACCTGGTAGGAGATAACTGAATTATGGGGGCAGTTACCTCCATGCTGCTATTCTCATGATAGTGAGTGAATTCTCATGAGATCTGATGGTTTTATAATGGTCTTTTCCCCCTTTTGCTTGGCACTTCTCCTTCCTGTCATCATGTGAAGAAGAACATGTTTGCTTCCCCTTCTGCCACGATTGTAAGTTTCCCGAGGCCTCCCAAGCCATGCTGAACTGTGAGTCAATTAAACCTCTTTCCTTTATAAATTACCCAGTATACAACAGTTGTTTACAGCAGTGTGAGAATGAAATAATACAGTAAATTGGTATCACAGAGAGTGGGGTGCTGCTGTAAAGACACACAAAAATGTAAAAGCAACTTTTGAACTGGGTAACAAGCAGAGGTTGGAATACTTTGGAGGGCTCAGAAGAAGACAGGAAGATGTGGGAAAGGGTAGAACTTCCTAGAGGCTTGTTGAATAGCTTTGACCAAAATGCTGTAGTGATATAGACAATGAAGTCCTGGCTGAAGTTGTCTCAGATGGCGATAAAAAACTTGTTGGAAACTGGAATAAAGCTGATTTTTGCTATGCTTTAGCAAAGAGACTGGCAGCATTTTGCCCCTGTCCTAGAGATCTGTGGAACTTTGAACTTGAGAGAGATAATTTAGGGTATCTGATGGAAGAAATTTCTAAGCAGCAAAGCATTCAAGAGGTGACTTTGGTGCTCTTAAAAGCATTCCGTTTTATGTATTCCAAATATGGTTTGGAACTGGAACTTATGTTTAAAAGGGAAGCAGAGGATAGAAGTTCAGAAAATCTGTAGTGTTAGGATACAAGAGAAAAGAAAATCCCATTTTCTGAGGAGAAATTCAAGCCAGCTGAAGAAATTTGCATAAGTAAAGAAGAGCCAAATATTAATTGCAAAGACAATGGGGAAAATGTCTCACAGTAGCCTTTCCCATCACAGGCCTGAAGGCCTAAGAGGAAAAAATGGTTTCATGAGCTGGGCCCAGGGCCTTGCTGGTTTTTGCAGTCTTGGGACCTGGTGCCCTGCATCACAGCCATGGCTAAAAGGGGCCAACAAAGAGCTCAGGCCATTTCTTCAGAGGGTGCAAGCCCCAAGCCTTTGTGGCTTACACATGGTGTTGGGCCTTTGGGTGCACAGAAGTCAAGAATTGAGGTTTGGGAACCTCTCACTAGATTTCAGAGTATGTATGGAAAATTCTGGATGTCCAGGCAGAAGTTTGCTGCAGGGGCAGAGCCCTCATGGTTAACCTCTGCTAGAGCAGTGTGGAAGGGAAATGTGAGGTCAGATCCCCCACACAGAATCCACTGGGGCACTGTCTAGTGGATGTGTAATGAGAGGGCCACCATCTTCCAGATCCCAGACTGACAGATCCACCAACAGCTTGCACCGTGCACCTGGAAAATCCACAGGCACTCAACACCAGCCTGTGAAAGCAGCTGGTAAGGTGGTCCTACCCTGCAAAGCCACAGAGGCAGAGCTGCTCAAGGTTATGGAAGCTCATCTCTTGCATCAGTGTGACCTCAGTTTGAGACACATGGAGTCAAAGGAGATCATTTTGGAGCTTTAAGATTCAACTGCCCCACTAGATTTCAGACTTGCATCGGCCCTGCAGCCCCTTCACTTTGGCCAATTTCTCCCATTTGGAATGGGTGTATTTACTGAATGCCTGTACCCCTATTGTATCTGGGAAGTAACTAACTTGCTTTTGACTTTATAGGCTCATAGGTGGAAGGGATTTGCCTTGTCTCAGATGAGACCCTGGACTTGAACTTTTGGGTTAATGGTAGAATGAGTTAAGACTTTGGGAGACTGTTGGAAAGGCACGATTCTGTTTTGAACTATGAGGACATAAGATTGGGAGAGGCCAGGGGTGGAATGATATGATTTGGCTGTGTCCCCATCCAAATCTCATCTTGAATTGTAATTCCCAAAATCCCCACATGTCCATGGGAGGGACTCAGTGGGAGGTGATTGAATCATGAGGGCGGTAACACCCATGCTGCTGTTCTTATTATAGTGAGTAAGTTCTCATGAGATCTGATGGTTTTATAAAAGGCTTTTTCCCCTTTGCTCAGTAGTCCTTCTTGCTGCCATGTGAAGAAGGACATGTTTGCTTCCCCTTCTACCATGATTGTAAGTTTCCTGAGGCCTCCCCACCCATGCTGAACTGTGAGTCAATTAAACCTCACAGTATACCCTACTACACACCTGGGCTATACGGTGTAGCCTATTGCTTCTAGGATACAAACCTGCACAGTATGTTACCATACTGAATACTGTAGGCAATTGTAACACAATGGTAAGTATTCATTTATCTAAATGTATCAAAATATAAAAAAGATACTGTGTTGGACTATGAAAACAGGAATTTTTCAGCTCTATTTTACACTTATGAGGCCATCAAGGTATATGTAGTCCATCATTGACTGAAATTAGGCTATGTGGCACATGATTGTAATAGCTAATGTTTATTCAGCACTTAGTATGTATGTTAGTTTTACATAACTGCTTTATATCTATCACTGCAATTAAACCTCAAAATTTCTTTATCATGTAGCTACCATAAGCACACCTTGAACTTTAATGTGCATATACATCTCCTGGGGATCTGGTGAAAATTCAGATTGAGATTCAGAAAGTCTGAGGTGGAGGCTGAGATTCTACACTATTAATAAATACTTTAGTGATGCTGGTGACACCAGCTGCACCCACACTATGTGTGGCAAGGAGCCTGTTATGTTTTATCATTTTATTAATTAAAAAACTAAGGCACAGAAAGGCTCTATTATATGCCCAAATTTACACAGCTACATGAGTGGTAGAGTCAGAATTTTAACTCAGTCTACGTGGCTTCTGGACCAACAATGAGTAGGTTTATCTAGACTGAAAATAGAACAAAAACATTCTTGGCCATGAAATTAGTATAATCGAAATAATGACATGACAATGTTCAACAAATGTGGTGTTCTAGATATAGGCTAGTTTGACTGGAGAGCAAAGAAACAGAAGAAAGAAACTACGTACTATGAGTAGGTTTGCATAAATATAGCGAGTGTCTCAGATTCTTTCACTAGAGGGCTTCACCATCACCTACCTTCTGAACCTGTGTTATTTCAGCTTTTGCTGAGAACATCAGCCTTGTTCTCTTTCCAAGAGCCTGTATCCTAGGGAGATTTGGCCTTTGAAGTAGACTCATTTAAATACTTACTGTCCCTCTTCTTCCTTCTCAGGACAGAAAGTTGAAAAACAGAGGGCTAGTCTCTGTCACATTTCACATTCTGGCATAATTTCATCAGCAGGCAGTTGTCCACTGGGTTATGAATTAGATTTTCCTCAGAGTGAGGAGAAGGCAGGCACTGTGGTGTTGGGATTGCTCAGAATGTCCAACCTATCTATGGTTAGCTATTCAGCATCAGACCAGGTGGTGCACTAAGGTTGTAGCGCAAGAGTGGACTTAATGTCAGAGGTTACAGAGCCCTTGTCTAGTCTGTCATATGACAGTAATCCTAGCCACTGCTTACCAAGCACCAACAGTGTGTTAGTTTCTCTGCTACACACTTTACACACATTATCTGTTATCCTCCAAACAAATTCTACAAATTAGATTTGTTGTCTATATTTGCTGAGGATAAAACTGAAGGCATGAGGAACTCAATTCCTGGTCCAGGGTCACAGAGCTAGTGAGAATCAGAGCTGGAATACAAATCACATTTGCCTGGCTCCAAAGCCCCTATTCTTACCACCAACCCTATCTTGCTACTTTTATTCCTTACCCTGTCCATGAATACATGGCTTAGAAGAAGCCCTTCAATGTAAATTCCCCCAGCATGTGATTATACAGGGAAAGATTTATTTCTCCACTGCCTATAGACTGCACTTAATGCTCTCGCTTTTCTGGACTGCAAATGCTACCATTTAGGAGAAGAGATCATCAATATTTCACCAAATGCTGTTAACATGTTTGAACTTGCTTTAGAGGAGCCAATTCAAGGATTCATTATCACAAACAAATGGAAACAAATTAGAGGGCTGGCAGTGTCTGATGGGAAAAAGTCAGTTTTGACAAGCAGTCCTCAGAATCCAAGGTCTGAAGGGCACTCCGATCCTTGCATGGAGCCCATGCAAAGTCTGCAGAGGAAAATCACACCATTTTAGCACTGTCTTAGCTGTGAGTAAAGTTACTAAAGCTTAATCTACAAGTTCAGACTTTGAGGATTGTCAGTATCCTCCCAGAGCAACCTGGTAAGTAATACTCATCATATTAACAAGTTACTTACTTTTAAGTGAATTTATTGTTTTTTCTGGTTCATGAAACCTAGTAAGAAAGCCATGTGAAAAGCAAATATTTAGGGAAGATTATGAGAGACCAGAAAACAAAGCACTATGGTTTCTATTTAAACAACTACAATTTAGCTGTTACTAAATAATCCCTTCAGACCTTAGCAGATGCTTTAGGAAGTATTTTAGATAATTTATTTCATTTTATTATCATAAGAACTTTAAGAAGTATATGTCAGCTTCATTTCTAAAAGGATGGGCACAGTCCTTTGTCTGAAATTACACAATGAGTGAAGGGTTTAATCCTCTTTTTTTTTTTTTTTTTTTGAGATGGAGTTTCACTCTTGTTGCCCAGGCTGGAGTGCAATGATGCAATCTCGGCTCACTGCAACCTCCGCCTCCTGGATTCAAGTGATTCTCCTGTCTCAGCCTCCTGAGCAGCTGGGATTACAGGCACCTGCAACTACACCTGACTAATTTTTGGTATTTTTAGTAGAAAAAGGGTTTCACCATGTTGGCCAGGCTGGCCTCAAACGCCTGACCTCAGGTGGTCCGCCTGCCTCGGCCTCCCAAAGTGCTGGGGTTACAGGCGTGAGCCACCGTGCCCGGCCGAGGGGTTTTATTCTAACCAAGATCTGCCTGTCTCAAGGATCCAGAGACTCTTCCACTGCTCCCAAGTTGCCTCCCACATCTAGAAGAGACCAAGTTAGAAGCTTACTTACTGTCAAGAACATATACCAAAAAAAAGTATTTCTTCTGGCAGAAAATACTCCAAGGAAACAAGAAAATAAATATTTTAACACAATTAGACCTGCAGTAATGTTTACAGACTGAAAAGCTTGTGAGGACAAGACAAGCTGTCCTATAAAACTAAGTTATTTAACCATTCCTATGGTAAGAGACAAATATTTTTAAAAATTAATAGCCAGTAGAGAACTGTTTAAAAGTACTCTGATTTCAGTGAAAACGCAAGTCTTTTCATCATGTTGGGTTATCTGTGCCCATGGCAGCTTTGCCATAGCAGAGCCTGCCCAGTGTTAAGAGAGAAGACCAAAGGCCTTAGAAAGTATGGCAGTTTTAATCACAGAAAATCTCTTTGTTGAATAATCACAAGTCATTTGATTAAGTGCTCTCTCCCCATGACACCAGCATTTTCAAGTTGAGGTTCAGGGCTGAGTTGTCTCAACACTAATTAGTTGGAAAACAGACTGTGATTAGAGCACTTAAAAGTGATAGGAGAATAAGGCAGAAGAGGCTAGTGCTAAATTGGTTTCCTACAGAAAGGAATCTTTCTTTATGAGCCAGCTGTGATGCCCAGGGAGCTACATATCTGATCTCTTCACATAGGAAACTTGAAAGAGAAACAGATGGGAGAACCAATTAAATAGTTTACAGTAGGTTTGGCCATGGAGAGGCCACTATGACTCAATGCCAAGGCTGTCTAACCACAGTTGAGCACATTCCTCTTTATATTTTTTTCCTCCTATGTAACGCTAAGCCTAAGAACTAACAGGCATGCAGCTTTGCTAATTAACTGCATGACATTCCAGTCATTAATCAACTGATAATTAATGGTCATTGAAACACATCTTCCAGCTCCTCCTCAATATCACTATTATGGTAATAACTTCAATAAGCAAATGTGAACATGCTACTTTTCTATATAAGATTCACTAATGATACTTCATCTCCCGCGTGGTAAAATCTAAAACAACAGGCTTGGCAAAGAAGACTCTTCATGATCTTACTCTGCCTAGGTGCCTATCTTATTTTTCTACTATTCTTACACTTCAGGTGAACTCAACTCCTTATAGTTCACTGAACTTCTGTGCTTAAAATGCATTCTCCAGACTTGTCCACCTGGAAAGCTCTTGTAAAACCTTCAAATTTCAGCTTAAACACTTCTTGTCCGTATGACTTTCCCTTAGGGCCCAAAGGAGATTTAGTTTCTTATTCCCCATGGGCTCATGGAAGCTTTATAGCAATTATCATAGTGCACTGCCATTTGTATATGCTTACTTTTCTATTTCCCCTAGTCTACTGATAATTATTTGACAGCAGAGATCCGGTTTTTCATTTTAGTACAAATATGCCAGACATCTTAGCGCCTTGTGTAAAACCTGGAACAGAGGAGGTATTCAGTACATGAATAGATGAAAGGGATGTGTATCTTTGGATCCCATCTCCCATCTACTTCTCCATGTGGCCTATTTTAGGAATGACTTTTCTCATTAAATGTAGGATGTTTTATGTTTGAGTAGCAGTAGCAAGATAAGGATAAGCATGTTTCCTAAAGGAAACATCTGTTTAATGAGAAATGTCATTACCCATGCTGCAGCATTACATACTGAATACTTCACTGCAGTAAAAATATCTGCCTTTACCCTATTATCTTTAGCCATCAACCACAGGCTACCAAAACAATCTAGACTAACAGAGCCCAAAGGTACAAATAGGCTCAGATGTAGAGCAATGTGAGTAACTGACATTATTTCTGCTGCTTATATTGAAGCACAACACACATTTTCTGGATGCTTTGGCTACCTCTGTTTTCCAACTTGTTTTAAGCTTATCCTTTTCTTTCTTAGGTAGGACAAAGATTGTGGGACAAAGACATTCTCTTCCTCTGGCTAACCTTATTACCCCACCCACTTTCACCTAAGAAGAGACCTGGGCTGCAGCACACTTAGAAAAGGCCCTGAAACTCTAGCCAGAGTGGAAAAGGCTGATGAGGGTTACAAAGTTGAAGCCTGGGATTAGAGATAAATGTTCATCTTCCTCTACATGAATCACAAATCCTATTAGTCTAGAAATCAATAAATTAAATCCATTAAATTATGAACTAGTTTCACACACATAGACTTTGCACCTAGTATGTGTCACATATTAAATAGACGTTGACTGTATAAAAACTGAAAACACAGTCCTTAAGCTGGTGGGTTTTGGTAGCTGCAAAGAAGCTTGTATGAGCCAGACCTGAGGGGAGGAGCTGAAACAAAATGAATTCACAGATCAAAGCATCTCAGAGAAATATCACATGAGTAATAAATTTTATAAAGTTATATCTCTAAAACCAGTAGTAAGATCTTACAGTGATTAGATAAATATTTCAAAAGGCATTTCGTTTATTGGTGCATCTACATTTCTTTTTTCTTTACTCCAACAGCTCCAACCATCACAGATTTTTATCTACATAAAAAGATTTTCTTCCCACTGATGGCCACTCTGTCAATAGAGAAACATAAACAGAACATAATAAAATAAAATAAAGTGGAAAAAGTAAAATGCAGACCACATGGGTAATTCAGTTATCTCAAATTCAAGTGCTTTATGATCCCTAAACAGAGAAGAAATACAAGAAACACAGCAAGAACTGTCAACAAAATAAAATAGCATTTAGTGCCACAATATTTTAAATCTTCAAAATATTTTTTAATTTATGTTTAATTTTCATAGTCTCTCTGCATGTTTATTTGCCCAAACCTCTCCCTTCAGGAAACTCACAGCTCCTTGAAGGAATTGTCTCCCTGCATATAAAGGTGAAAGACGTGAACTCCATGATTGTTCCAAAGTGCAAAGTTGTGCTATGGAAATTTCCAGGAAGGGAAAATGATTAGCATGTTGTTCTGGGTTGAATTGTATCCTCACAAAATTCACATGTTGAAGTCCTAACCCCAACCTAGTACCTCAGAATGTGATCTTATTTGGAAATAGGGTCTTTGCAGAGATAGTTAAGACAAGGTCATTAGCGCAGGCTCTAATCCAATATGAATGTGTTTTTAATATTAGGTTCGTCCAAAAGTAAGTGCCGTTTTTGCCATTGAAAGTCATAAGGGCAAATTTAGTCACAGGGACACACGTACTCTGGGAGAATACCATGTGAAGGTGGAGGCAAAGAATACAGTGATGATTTTTGTGCCTAACATTGCCAGCAAGCCAACAGAAGCTAGGAGAGAGGCAGCAAAAGAATATTCTACACAGCCCTGGGAAGGAGCCAACCCTGTTGACACTTTGCTCTTGGCCTTCTAGACTCCAGAACTGTGAGACATTATCTTTCTGTTGTTTAAGCCACCCAGTTGGTGGTACTCAAATGCAGTAGCCCTAGCAAACTAATACAGGCAAACCTTGGCAATATTGCAGGTTAAGTTTTAGAACACTGTAATAAAGCAAATACTGCAATAAAGCCAGCCACACAACATTTTCAGTTCCCCAACACATATAAAAGTTATATTTACACTATACTGGAGTCTATTAAATGTGCAATAGTATTAGATCTTTAAATACAAACTAAATACCTTCATTAATAAATGCTTTATTGCTAAAAAAAATTGCTAACAACCATCTGAGCCTTCTGTGACTCATAATCTTTTTGCTGATCAAGAGCCTTGCCTCGATGTTGATGGCTGCTGACTGATCAGGGTGGTGGTTGCTGAAGGCTGGGATAGCTGTGCAATTTCTTAAAGTAAGATAACAATGATGTTTGCTGCACAGACTCTGTTACAAAAGATTTCTCTGTCAGATGTAATGCTGTTTTACAGCATTTTACCCACAAGAGAACTTATTTCAAAATTGAAGTCTGTTTTGTTCAAACATTGCTGCTGCTTTATCAACTAAAGTCATATAATATTCTAAATCCTTCATTGTCTTTTCAACAGTGGTTATAGCCTCTTCACCAGGAGTAGATTTCATCTCAAGAAACCACTTTCTTCTTTCTTTGCTCACCCATAAGAAGCAACTCCTCATTCACTCAAGTTTTTTCATGAGATCATAGCAATTCAGTCACATCTTCAGGCTCCACATTTAATTCGCTTGCTATTTCCACCACAACTGCAGTTACTTCCTCTACTGAATTCTTGAGCCCCTCGATAATGAAGATTGGAATTAACTTTTTCCAAACTCCCACTAATGTTGATATTTGACCCTCTCCCATGAATCATGAATGTTTTCAATGGCCTCTAGATTGCTGAATCCTTTCCAGAAGACTTTCCGTTTACTTTGCCCACATCCATAAGCAGAATCATGACCTTTCATAGCTATAGCCTTACAAAATATATTTCTTAAATAATAAGACTTAAAAGTCAAAATTATTCTTTAATCCATGGGCTGTAGAATGAATGTGGTGTTTGCAGGCATGAAAACAACATACAAGAGTAACATGAAAAATCACTGATCACTGGGCTGGGCACGGTGACTCGTGCCTATAATCCCAACAGTTTGGGAGGCCAAGGTAAGTGGATCACTTGAGCCCAGGAAGTCCAGACCAGACTGGGCAACATGGCAAAACACCATCTCTGAAAAAAAAAAAAAAATTAAATATGTCTACAGTCCTAGCTTTTTGGGAAGCTGAAGTTGGAGGATCACCTGAGCCCAGGGAGGTGGAAGCTGTAGTGAGCCATGATCGCACCACTGCACTCCAGCCTGGGCAACAGAATAAGACCCTGTCTCAAAAAAATAAACAAATAAAATAAAATAAAATAAAAGTCACTGATCACAAATCACCATAATACTAATAAAAATGTTTGAAAGATTGTGAAAATTTTGAATTACCAAAATGTGACACAAAAATTTGAAGTGATCCCAAGCTGCTGGAAAAAATGGTGCCCACAGACTTGCTCAATGCAGGGTTGCCACAAACCTTCAATTTGTAAAAAAAATGCAAAAAAGCAAAGCACAATAAAATGAAGTATGCCTGTACACACATTCTTTTTGTCTCCATATTCTGATTGTGCTTTTTCTCCTTAACATCTTGACATTTCCTTAGCTCCTTAACATTTCCATCTCTACTGATTGACAGAAATTGTTTTTCTAAAGAAACTCAATGGGGCTATAATCTACAAACTCACTGGCAAGACCTTTCCTCTCCTTCTCCTCTTTGACCCTTCATAGCATGTGACTCTGCTGACTATCTGACCCCTGCCACAGCTGGAGAGGTGGGCAAGGGGCAGGCCTCTTTGATGGGGTCCTCAGAGCTGGAGCCTTAGTGCCTGCTTCCAGGAGAAATGTCACAATTATGTCTAAGGGTGACTGCTGAGTTTGAAAAACATTCTTATTAAAGCATCATTTTTCAGTGAGGGTGGGAGGGCAAGGGTTGAAGAGAATAAGCCAGGTTTTCTCAACCTTGGTGCTATTGACATTTTAAACCAGATAATTCTTTATTTTGTAAAATCACACACACACACACACACACACACACACACACACACACACACACACACACACACACACACGTAATTCTTTGCTTCATAGGATGTTTAGCAGTATCCCTGACCCCAACAGACTAGATGCCAGTAACATACACCTGCAGCCCTGGCAACCAGAAATGACCACTGATGGGAGCAGGGGCTTGGGGCAAAATCACTCCAATTTTCTAATGGCTAGAACTACAATGCTGAGACAAGCAGACAAGCAGAAGGCAAAGAACTCCAGCACACTTGAGCCAGGAAAGCAGGCTTCAGTGGGTAGACAGAAGGGGGGCTGAACTGATTCTAAAGAGACACAGGCGGGAAGGAGGAGGCTTTGCCTGTGCCTCTGGGCCTCTTCTCTCATCTTTTTCTGACTTGAATACTCTCTCTTATAAATCCATTTAACCACTAACTGTCCTTCAAGGCCACTGTATTAGCCAGGGTTCTCTAAAGGGACAGAATTAATAGGATATATGTATATATGAAGGGGAGTTTATTAAGGAATATTGACTCACATGATCACAAAGTGAAGTCCCACAGTAGGCCATCTGTAAGCTGAGGAGCAAGGAAGCCAGTCTGAGTCCCAAAACCTCAAAAGTAGGGAAGCCAAACAGTGCAGCCTTCAGTCTGTGACCAAGGGCCCAAGAGCCCCTGACAAACCACTGGTGTAAAGTGCAAGAGTCCAAAAGCTAAAGAACTTGGAGTCTGATGTTCGAGGGCAGGAAGCATCCAGCGTGGGAGAAAGAGAAAGTCCAGAAGATTCAGCAAGTCAGCTCCTTCCATCTTCCTCTGCCTGCTTTATCTTAGCCACACTGGCAGCTGATTAATGGTGCCCACCCAGATTGAGGGTGGGTCTGGCTCTCCCAGTCCACTGATTCAAATGTTAATCACCCAGGAACAATACTTTGCCGTCGATCCAATCAAGTTGACATGCAATATTAACCATAACAGCCACTTTCTCCAAAAAAACTGGCCCTGACCACATGGCTCAGAGGTCTTTGAGTTCTATCAGCTTGGACTATCTGTGCCCCTTTTTGGACACCCAACAAGGTGGTCATCTTAAGTTGTTTAACTACCCAAGTGTGGAACTTCCTCCTCAGTTGCGTGATAGCTTTTGCAAGGTGAGGTGGGGTCAGGTTTTGGCATTGCCCATAGGGTCTTGAACATCAGGGATGCTCCCGACACTTTTGAGTAAGGAATGAATGGCATGATTATGAATGACTGGAGTGCTTTCTGAAACATATGACACCTATGAGCCACTTCCTTCTGAATTTGTAGTATGCTGCCTTTCAGAGGAGATGTAAAACTGCCTGGGGTAGAGTTCCTCAGGCAACAGTTACCTGAGAAGCAACAATGAGACTCTCAGGCTCAAGGTACCACAACACCTCCTTTATCCCATCCACAATGAAGGCCACAACACCACTGTAGCAGTATGTTTCTAGGATAGCTAAAGACCTGAACATTCATCCATATAAAAGTGTTTGTTGTTTGTTGGTTGGCTGGTTGGTTTTTAGGGACGTAGAAATTGAGTTTTTCAGGGATACAACATCCACACATCTCAGAGCATTTGGAGCTACACAAGAATCTATGCTACCGCTTGGTACATAGATTCTCACTGTATCAGCAGTACTTCCCTGAAGCAATCAACCCCACAACCCATAGCAAAAACTGGAGAATGCCAGAAATGTTAGTGAATCAGATGCAGCAGACTTTACCATTGACTCTGACTTCGTGAAAATTCTTACATAAATTATATGAAAGGACCATCCTCATTTGTTCCTCAGGTTGCCTCTTCAGCTCCCCCTCCCACTGCTCTGAATCCTGCAACCTACTATGTACTTAACCACTCACTGCTCCCCAAACACACTTGTCCTCTTCATGCATGTTTTCCCCTATTGTTTCCCTGGAAAACATCCACTCACCCTTTGAGAATGACCTCAAAAGTTATTTCCTCATTGAAACTTTTCCTAAGTCCTGCAAACAGAGTCAAGTCCTCATTGTCCTGGGCAACTACCGTCCCTTGTACCCACCTCCATGATGAACACATTCACCTATTTTAATTACTTCTTTTCATCTGTTGCTTTCTCATCATTCCTTAACTCTTGACCAAATAACATTACTTCACTCATCTATGTAAACATCTCTGACACAGGCCATGCTATACTAAGGGTGGTTCTAACATATCTGCTGCTTTCTGTCTTAAATAATGACCTGCCACTGGAGAAAACATTCCAGACCTTATAGGTAAAACTCCTAAATAAAACTGACATTAACTTAAAGATTTTATCATCTCTCGTGTCCCCAGTTTTCGTGGCATCAATAAATGTATTTGTGCAATTTTTACATTCATAGTATTTACTCTGAAATGATGGATTACCATTCATTTGACTATAGTGTGGACTGTCTGAATTATTTTAAAAATTATTCATTAAAACCAGTGTACGGCATATCAATCTTTTCTCAGAAATAGAATTCCTTATTATAGAATGATGGAAAGATTCTCATTTTAAAAGAATACATTTAAACTTCAAGATCTAACTCTAAACATTCAAAGATTTGGCAGTCCCAGTTGAAGTGTTTATACCTGTCTAGAATTTAATAATTCCTTTTTAAAATACACATTTTTCTGATCATAAAAATTGAGAAATATTTCTACTCAGAATTTGATTTGAATGATACTTTGTCATAATAATAATTGCTTTTATTGAGCAACCTTCCATATGATCATAAATTGCTTTATTTTATCATCATAACATTTTTAGGTAGATTTTTAATCTTACAGCTAAAGAATTTATAGGTCAGAGAGATAGGTAGCTTTTCCAAGGTCACACAGCTGGGTGGGGGTGGGGATGGAGAGCTAGGATTTGCCCCAAACTCACACACTGCTTATGTTATGCTTAATCTAAGACTTCTTCAGTTCAGCTACCAATAACATTTTAATATGCATGGCTCTGTGCAGTTTGCAAAGTGCTTTTGGAACACATAATAGACAAGCCTGGTGATTCATGTATTTATTTCGTGTTAGGAATAGGTAACTTATATTTTGTAAGATAATTTGTCTAAATTCAAAGAACTGAAAAGTAGAAAAACTGGAAAATCAAAGCCAGGTATTGTGATTCTCAGTTCAGTGCCTAATCCACCCTAAATTACCTTTTCCACATATTTGGACACTTAGAAGAAATAGGAAAATATGCATGAGCATATTATGATGGCTCATTTTATGTGTCAACTTGACTGGATCCATAGAATGGCCGAATATTAAGCTAAAAACATTTCTGACTGTGTTTGTGAGGGTATTTCCAAATGAGATTTGCATTTGAGTTGGTAGACTGGATGAATCAGATTGCCTTTCCCAGTGTGGTGTCAATGTACATTAATTGAGGTCCTGAATAGTACAAAAAAAAAAAAAATACTGGAGAAGGGGAGAATTTGCTCTTCCTGCCTGACAGCTTGAGCTAGGACATCAGTCTTCTCCTTTCCTTGGATGGGGATTTACACCATTAGGTCCCCTGTTTCTCAGATCTTCAGACTTGCACTGCACTACTTGCTTTCCTGGGTCTCCAGCTGGCAAAGGGAAGATAATAAGAGTTCTCTGTCTTGGCTGGGCGTGGTGGCTCACGCCTGTAATCCCAGCACTTTGGGAGGCCGAGGCAGGTGGATCACCTGAGGTCAGGAGTTCGAGACCAGCCTGACCAACATGGAGAAACCTGTCTCTACTAAAAATACAAAATTAGCCAGGTGTGATGGCACATGCTTGTAATCTCAGTTACCCAAGAGGCTGAGGCAGCAGAATCGCTTAAACCCAGGAGGCGGAGGTTGTGGTGAGCCAAGATCACGCCATTGCATTCCAGCCTGGGCAACAAGAGCGAACTTCTGTCTCAAAAAATAAATATATAAATAACTCTTTGTCTTTATAATTGCTTAAGCCAATTCCTTATAATAAATCCATATATATGTATATATACCTATATCTATATATGCAGAAATATATGGATATAAATAGAAGATAGATAGATGTCTATCTTTATCTATCTATCCAGCTGAGATCTCCTATTGGTTTTTTTTCTTTGGAGAATTAGTATGGTATGGATGTTCTGTCTCCTCCAAATCTCATGCTGAAATGTGATTCTCCAACATTGGAGGTAGGGCCTGGTGGGAGGTGTTAGGTTCATGGGGGTGGATCCCTCATGAAGGGCTTAGCGTCATCCTTGCAGTAATGAGTGAGTTCTCCCTTTGTTAGTTCATGTGAAAGCTGCTTGTTTAAAGGAGCCTGGCATCTCCTCCTCTCTCTCTTGTTCCTGCTCTCACCATGTGATGCACCTACCCCTCCTTCACCTTCTGCCATGATTGTAAACCTCCTGAGGTCCTCGCCAGAAGACAAGCTGATGCTGGTGCCATGTTTGTACAGCCTGCAGAGCTGTGAGACAAAATAAACCTCTTTTCTTTATAAATTACCCAGCCTCAGGTATTCCTTTATAACAGGTATTCCTTTATAACAATGCAGAACAGACTAACACAAGAAGTATGACTAATATACATCACACACACACACACACACACACACACACACAACCAGCCTTACCTGATTACAAAGCCTTTAGAAGTTACATGAAAAAGAGACATTAAATGCTAAGAATGCTCTAGTTTATCCCCCAGATTAAATCGGCATAAACTGAAGAATTGTTCCATTCTTCCCTGAGATAGAGACTTTTTTTAAGAGAATTAATTGATTGACGTCATTAAAAATATTTGTGCAGGGTATTATTAACACATGATTCTATATGTATAATGAAAATTAATCAACTCTGTTTAACTTAACAAACAACAAAGATGTTATTTTTCTCTGCAGGTTAGATATGGTCAAGCTCAAGGTCATTTGAGTCTCAGTTCACTCACAGTACAACCAGAATGCATGCTCAGATTTACTCTTAGACTCACAGAGTCTGTGTTTGCTGGTGAAGTACATGGATTGCATACAGATGAATTCACCTCTGCAGCACAGAATTTAAATCAGCCAAGGAAGAAGCCAGCTAGTCTCCAAAATACATGTTAATCTGCCTCCAGAACAAACCCACAGACTGACTAAATATTTTGGTTTCATCAAAACTCCAACATATCAAACATAACTTCAAATAAGAGTAACGTTAAAAGCAACTAATTTTATCAAATTACCCTTGCATTTATTATAAGGAGTTCTGCTCTGTTCATCTCGTTTACATTTTCATTAGAGAATAATCAACATTCAGCAAAATGTTTAAAGTGTTCAATTTGATACAGTTTGACATAAATCTGTACCTATGAAACCATCACCACAAACAAGACAATGAACACATCCATCCCTCCAAAAGCTTCTTCGAGATATTTTGTAATCTCTCCCTCCTGCCTGTGTCCCTCTTCCCACAGTCAACCATTGATCTGCTTTCTGTTATTATGGATTAATTTATATTTTCCAAAGTTTTCTATAAATGAAATCATACAATATGTACTCTTCTTCATCTTATTCCGTTCACTTAGTAAAATTTTGTAGTCACATGTTTTACAGCATTCATATTACTGCACCTATCAGCAGTTCATTAATTTTCGTTTCTGAATAGTATTTCATTGTATGAGTATACCACTATATTTTTAGCTATTCATTGGTTAGTGGATATTTATTTCCAACTTTTGCCTTTTACAAATAAGGCTGCTATGAATATTTGTGTGCAAGTCCTTACATGGACATATGCTCTCTTTTTGGTAAATATGGAGAAGAGGAGTGGCTGGGTCATACATTAGGTGCAGGCTTAACTTTTTAAAAATACCTGCCAAGCTATTTACCAAAGGCGTTGGACCATTTTATATTCCCTCCAGCAGTGTATGAGAGTTCCTGTTACTCCACATCGTCACTAACATTTGGCATGGTCTGCCATTACTTTTAAATCTTCTATCACAAATGCAGTGGTATCTTTTGCTTTCAATTTATATTTCTCTAGTAACTAAAGATGACAAACTTTTTTTTTGTGCTTATTTTCCATTGTTAGTTCTTCTTCAGTAACGTGTCTGCTTTAATCTTTTGCCAGTTTTTAATTGGGCTGTTGTCGATTTTCCTACTGTTGACTTCTAAAAGATCTTTATGTGGATTCTGTTATCAGATACACAGTTTGCAAATATATTTTATCTCAGTCTACAGATTGTCTTTTCAATCTTTTAATAATTTCCTTTAAGGAGACTATGTTTTGATTTTGATGAAGTTCGTTTGTCAATCTGTTCTTTTACAGGTAATGTTTTTGGAAGAAATCTTTGCCTTACCCAAGTTCACAAATATTTTCTCCCATTTATTTTCAGTTTTATAAAGTTTTATATTTAGGTCTATGATCCATTTTGAATTAATTTTTATATGATGAGAGGAATGAATTTAGGTTTATTTTTTGCATCTCAATATTCCGTGCCATTTATTGAAAATAAAATCATTTTTTCATTATTGAAAAGAAAATCAAAATTCAATTGAATTGTCTTTGCAACTTGATTAAAACTCAATCATTCATATTACTGCACCTATCAGAATGAGTCTGATTCTGGACTTTCTACTCTGTTTCATTGACCTATTTATCTTGTTGTCAGTATCACATGGTCTTAGATAATAGTTTGGTGTGGGGTCAGGTGTAACAAACCTGCACGTTGTGCACATGTACCCTAAAACTTAAAGTATAATAATAATAAAAAATCTCCAACTTTGTTTTTCACTCCTAAAAGTGGTCTATTTTAATTTCTTTGCATTTTAGTATCAATTTTATAACTTGTCTATTTCTAGTAAAAGCCTACTAGAATTTTTATTGCAATTACTTTGAATCTATAGATAAATTTGGATATACTTCGCATCTTAACGATATTAAATCTTCTGACCTTAAGTAAGGATTTAGGTCTTCTTTGATTTAAATCTTTATTTTCTCTTAACAATGTTTTCTAATTTTCAATTCACAGGTCTTTAACATGTTTGTTAGATTTGTCTGTTATTATTTCATAAATGTTGATGCTGTGATTAATAGAATTTTTAAATTTCAATTTCAAATGATTTATTCATAGTATATAGGAATTCAAGTGATTTTTGCATATTGATTATGTATCCTGCAAGTTTGCTAAATCAACTTTATACTTGAAGTCTTTTTTGTGGATTCCATCAGATTTTTTCCATGAGCAATGATACATAGCCTATGTAATGATAAATCGTCTGTATAGACTGTTTTACTTCATTTCAATCTAAATACCTTTTATGACATTTTCTTGCCTAATTTTACCATCTAATAGCCTCCAGCTTAATATTGAATAGAATTGATGAAAAGTATATACCTTCATCTTATTCCTGATCTTAGGGGGAAGGTATTTGGTCTTTCAAAATTAGCAAGTATGATGTTAACTCTAAGTTTTTCATAGATGTTTTTTATCAGGTTAAGGGAGTTTTCTGATGTTACCAGTTTGCTGAGAGTTGTTATCAGAAATAGATGTTGGATTTCACCTGATGTAATTTGTTCATATAGCAAGTTATATTCTTTGATTTTCGAAGGTGAAATCAACCCCAGGTTCTTCAGATAAATTATGCTTGGTCATGATGTATTATACTTTGTATATATCTTGAGATCTGAATTTCTTTTTTTTTTCACATAATGATTTATTTCTGAAAAATTTAGGGTATATGAAAATTATACAAAAAAATGTGTTTTTTTCTCTTTTTATTATACTTTAAGTTCTAGGGTACATGTACACCACGTGCAGGTTTGTTACATATGTATACATGTGCCATGTTGGTGTGCTGTACCCATTAACTCGTCATTTACATTAGGTTTATCTCCTAATGCTATCCGTCCCCCCTCCCCCATCCCACGACAGGCCCCAGTGTGTGATGTTCAAAAACCTCGTTTAGAAAATGTGCCTTTATGTTCATGAGGGCTGTTGATCTGTATTGGGCCATTTCCTGAAATGTCTTTGTCTACTCTGGGTTTCAGGTAATGCTGGCCTCAGGCAATAAATTACAAAGTAATTCTTCTTTTTCAGTTTTCTGTAACAATTTGTGTAGAATTGGTATTATCTCTTCTTAAAAAAGTTAGTAGAATTTACCAGTGAAATAATCTGGGCCTGTAGTTTCCTTTGTGGGAATGTTTTTAACCATAAATTCAATTTTCTAATAGACTCAGGTTATATATTTTTGTGCATGTGAACTCCACTAATTTGTGTCTTTGAAGGAATTTGATCATTTCATCTAGGTTTTCAAATATAAAAACATAATATTTTTAATAATATTCCTTTTTAATATCCATAGAGCCTATATCGATTTCATCTCTTTGATTCATAATTCTGGAAAATTGTGTCTTCTCTATTCCTCATCAAACTCTAGAAGTTAATTGATTTTATTGGTATTTTCAAATATCCAGTTTGAAATCTTTTCTTTTTTCTTTTTTGAGATGGAGTCTCACTCGGTAGCCCAAGCTGGAGTGCAGTTGCGCGATCTCGGCTCACTGCAACCTCTGCCTCCCGGGCTCAAGCAATTCTCATGCCTCAGCCTCCTGAGTAGCTGGGACTACAGGCACGTGTCACCACACCCAACTAATTTTTTGTATTTTAGTAGAGATGGGGTTTCACTATGTTGCCCAGGGTGGTTTGCTGTTGAAGTCAGGTGGTATTAACTCTCCAACTTTGTTTTTCATTCCCAAAAGTGTTTTGACTATTTTCATTTCTTTGCATTTTAATATTAATTTTATAACATAACTCCTGAGCTCAGGCTATCCGCCTGCCTCAGCCCCTCAAAGTACTGGGATTACAGGCATGAGCCACCGCGCCCGGCCCAGTTTGAAATCTTAAAATACAGGAGGAAATACTGAAGTATGAGAGGAAGATAAAAGAGTAAGTTGAATTTAAATAGGCCAAGTCTATGGCTTTAACTTTCCTAAAATAAAAATTAGTTTTAACAAGGAAAATTAAAACACCTTTTCTAGGAGCATTTGATTTCATTAATAAGAGACACCCAAATGTGAGGGTTACAGGTAATAGATTCTGGAACCAGATTACCTGTACTTGTGTCCTGCCTCTGCCTCTCACTAGCACTGTGACCTTAACCTTACCTAACCTTTCCATGCCTCTGTTTTCTTACTCATAAAACATAAATAATAATAGCACCAAGCCCATAATATTGTCGTGATGATTAGACAAGTCTATGTGGTTAGCATATGTGAAATAATTTGAAAATTTTTGGCATACCATGCATACTACATAAGTGTTAATTCTTACAAGAAAAAGAATCCAGAAATGATCCATCATACCTTAGAATAACAAAATATACGTATTTTATATTGCAGATAAACACTTTTTATTTTGGTCAAGAAAGAAAAAAAAAATCAAAGAGAGCTAAAGTGGCCACAGAGGAAGAGTTGGCATTTGAAGAGAACAAACTGAGATTCTATAATATGTCCATCTTTCTGCTAGACCTGTCTCTAGCAGGTTTCTTTGTTTGCTTGCTTGTTTGTTTGTTTATAAAGATGGAGTCTCACTCTGTTGCCCAGGCTGGAGTGCAGTGGCACAATTTCAGCTCACCGCAACCTCCACCTCGCAGGTTCAAGCAATTCTCCTACCTCAGCCTCCCAAGTAGCTGGGATTACAAGCATGCACCACCATGGCCACTACTTTTTATATTTTTAGAAGAGACATGGTTTCACCCATTGACCAGGCTGATCTCGAACTCCTGACCTCAAGTGATCCACCCTCCTCGGCCTCCCAAAGTGCTGGGATTACAGGCTTGAGCCACTGCGCCCAGCCTCTAGCAGGTTTATGAGTGTTATCTCAATTTAAAAATCCTTGTATTTGGTAGGGCCTTAACACTGATGGAACTCTCACTCTTAAGACTCCCAAGAACAGACCTAATTGCAAATACTATGTTACTATGTTCCATGGACTTATAAACTGCCAAGTTGTCCCTCACGTGCCTACATTTCCACATCCACAATGCATTCCAAGATTGTATTACCATCCAAGATTGTCACCCAAATCTGTGCTTTGTTTTTTAGGTTCTGTAGTTTAAAAGTTTCATTATATAGATGAGAAATGTGAGGCTTTGAGAAGAGATATGCTCTTTTCCTTTCGTAAGGTAGAGCCTGTTGGATTCAGGTTTTCCATAGAAAAAATATATTTTTATAAGTCATTAATGAAAATTAAAACATGGATTCTCTTAGTAACTTCATAAAGTTCAAGACATCAAACAAGCAGGTGGTGAATGTAATCAGTAGTTTGGCATTTTCACAGCTGTTTGGATAATAAATGCCAGGGAGGATGAATAATATATCTTTATTCTGAATTCTAAGAAATATATCATTCTGATTCTTCAAGGCCCCAGCTTATGCTAGAGAATATCCTATACCTCAGGCTCTGGCCTTGTCCAGCAGGAGAAGAGCACAGCACACCAGCAACTGTAAATGTTCTTCATGAGATATTCTTACTATTCTGTTTTCAAAGCTATTCAATAAGAGTGCAAAATAAAAACCTAAGTGTTAGAGATCTCTCCTGACAGTAAATTCTGTGTTTATTGGTGCTTTTGTTTAAAGTGGACCATTCAATATGGCCAGGAATTTAGAAATCTGAAGGGAAGTATGGAAGCTAGGTAGAAGCATGTTGATTAATAAATAAAACTATCCTTGCTCTCACTGGTCCACTGATACTTAAATCTGTTCTTTGTATAAACAGAGATGAGGTCTGCAGTTCTGCAGTTCAAATCTCCCTGAAGAAGAAAATAAGGTTGCACTTGTTTATACTAAAGTGTGAATGACTATCATAGTAGTACTATTCCTTTATAATCTAAGGAAAGACAAGCAACTCCTACAAGCTTCTATACCCTCTTATCTAACATTCCCAAAATGTAACCATCATTCTCCCCCCATTTGTCCTATTTGTCCTTAAAAATAAAGTAGTGATTTTGTATCTCTTCCATGTGCATAATAACTGAGGCCTTTCTCTTGAAACTCAAGCCTAATTCTCAATTGTCTTTTGGCAAATAAATTGAGATTTGATATAATTTTAATCTCATGGGGGCGAGAAGTTTCACTTCTAGATGTTACTTTTTAGAAGAGTAAAGAAAATGTGGAGATTTCTGACAGTAGGGCAAGTCCTCAAAGTTGGAAAGGGATATTAGGCCTAAGAGAACTTACTCAAATTCTTGGAAATTATACTTTATTAAAACCTTTTCCTACCTCTCTATGAGTAATCTTTTTTCTCTCTCTCTTGCTGAGGACTGGAACTCAAAACACACCTGCTCTATGATGCCTCCTTCCCAGAACTACACAGAAGTTACTGTTTGTCTCTCACATCCAGAGAAATCTTTTGACTTTGCAGATGTCTCATCTTCAAAATGAGATAATAGGAACCAGGAGGTCTGGTGGTACATTCTTATTATTTGCAATGTTCCCAGACAGACTTGATTCATTTTTTTAATAAGTATGCATGAATCCTTGTTCTTTGCATGGCACTGGGGTAAGCAGAGCAGTCAAAATGTTGCAGTGCGTTTCATCTCCTCATCAGGGGCTCACAGTCAAATAACAGATCTCATAATTAGAAGGGCGCGTACTTATTAGAGTTTTAACCTCTGTTGTAGATGCTAGGAAGTCAGCAATGAACAAAAGATATAAAATTCTTACCCTTGTGGAGCTTATATTCTAGTGACAAGCTTTAAAAAGTAAATTATACAGTGTATTAGAAAGTATTAAGTTCTGTGGAGAAAAATACTGCAGGAAAAGGGAAGAGGTGAAGCCGGAGGGATGCAAATTTACGTAGGTTCTAAAAATAAAAAGCCTCACTGAGGTGATGACATTTAGGCAAATACCTGTAGGAGACTGGAGAGCAAGCTAAGGGGATCTGTTGGTCAATAATGTACCAGAAATGAAATCGTGTGTTTTACAGCAACATGGGTGCAGCTGGAGGCCATTTGCCTAAGCAAATTAACAGAAAACCAAATATCACATGTTCTTATTTACAAGTGGGAGCTAAACCTTGGGTACATATGGACATAAAGACGAAAACAACAGACATGAGGGACTCCAAAAGATGGGAGAAGGGAGGGACGCAGGGCTGAAAAACTTTCTATTAGTACTGTGTTCACTCTCTGGGTAACAAGATCAATAGAAGCCCAAACTGCAGACTCACACAATATAACCTTGTGATAAGCCTGCATATGTACCTCCTGAATCTAAAGTAAAAATTAAATTAAAAAAAAAAGAGTGTAGAAATAGGAAACAATGAGTGCAAAGCCCCCAAGGCAGAAGCATGTGATGAACAATAAGGAAGCCAGTGTGGTTGGGTCCTAGTGGACAAAGGAAGAGAGCAGACCACCCATGGTATGAAAGGTCATTGCAATTGACTTTTAGACTGAGTCAGATGGAATGATTTGAGCAGAGAAGTGACATAGTGTCTTTTGCTTTGAAGTGTTCATTCTAGCTGCTCAGCTGAGAAGAGACTGGAAGACAGAATGAAAGCAGAGAGATTGTTTAGGAGATCATTGCAGTAATCCAGACACGGGGGATACATGCTAGGATTAGCATAATGGAAATGGAGGTGGTGAGAAGTGGTTAAATTCTGGATGTATTTCGTAGGTGGAGCCAAGATAATTTCAATAGAGACTAGATGTGAACTGTGAGAAAAAGAGAAGAGTCAACTACGACTCTTGAGCGTTTCGCCTGAGCTCCTAGAAAGATGTTCTTTTCATTTACTGAGATGACGAAGTTTTGCACAAGGAGAGCATCCTGAGTGGGAATAGGGGAAGATCAAAAGTTCAGTTTTGGATTGGTTACTCATCCTAGTGGAAATGTCAAGTAGGCAATTGGACAAGCAAAGCTGAGTTCAGGGGAGAAGTCTGGGCTGAAGAGACACATTTGGAAGTCATTGGCATTTTGATGGAATTTAAGGACATGAAATTTGATGATATCATCATGAGTGTAAGTATACATAGAAAATAGAAGGACTAGCACAATTCCAGGGCTGCATTGCCTCTGAGGTCTATAAATGTGTATCTGTGTGTGTGTTAGTTTCTAGTCAACTGCAGTCTGACACTTCTGTAAAAATAAAATAAATTACTAGAAAAAGAAAATGAAATAAAAATAAATACATATAAAATGCAAGCCCAAATTTGTATTAATATATTCAACAGATATGAAAATACATTTCAATAATATAATCAGGAAAAGCACAATGTAGAAAAAAATTACCAAAACTGTGCATTGCTCATTGAAATTATGCATATAGGTGATTAGTGACAGCATTGCATTTATTTTTTATCCTTTTGAAATACAGCTAAGCAAAACATTAAGAATGAGACAGTGATTTCACATTTTCAAAATCTCTACACACATTTTGAACATTCACTGTATATCAACATTTAACTTTTTAAAGGGACAAATGAATTTGCTTCTTCCTTGTTAACTTATCTAAGTTGGATTGATGACAAGAGTACTTATTGAGGACAAGGTGTACCTAAATTATTTCTATGTTTTGTTTTACTATTACTCATGGTAGAAGAGATAGGTTGATGGGTATGGAAGAAAGAATTTTAAAGCAAATTCTCTAGGCTCAAGATATTCATATTTAGCCTTTATGTAAAATGAAAGTTATATTTTCAATATCCATCTTCAATTCTTCAGCAGCAGCCACATTCAATGACATATCCTATAACATGTTAGTTGATTTAAATTATATTTTTTCAGCTTTATTGAAGTATAATTGACAAATAAAATTGTATATATTTAAAGTGTACAACATGGTATTTAATATACCTATACATTGTAAAATGATTAATACAAGCAGGTTAACTAGTTAACACATTCATCACCTCACAATAATCTTTTTTTGTGTGTGCGTGAGAACACTTAAGATCTACTCTCAGTAAATTATAAGTATCCAATACAATATTATTAACTACAGTTGGGTTACTTATTTTTTATTGAAATTATTTTTCCATAAAAGACATGGATTCAGATTTTATGTACTTTCACTCGACTAATTTAAGTGAAAATATCACACTCTATCCTATTTCACATGCCCGGTACACAGCTCACATCACGTGTGTCTCTCCACGAGTTCAACAATGCCCAAACTGGTCTGTACCTGATCAGATCATGAACACTAGAAGAGTCTAACTGGGGTAGTGTGGATGCAGCAACACTGTCACTTTGCTCTAAATGTTTCTAAATAAGTGCTCTCAATATCTGTCCTTGTCTTGTTGTGAGCTGGCAGCAAACAGTTGGTAGACCAGCATTGATTGGTCTATGATCATGCTTCAGCAATGGTTTAGTAAATAACTGGGCATTGCAGAACTCCAGATAGCACCAAGATATCTATGTGAATGTGCCCCCTAGTGTAAATCCATGCAGCACCTTAGAGGTCTATGAATTATAAGAACCAGGAGACTGCAATGTTTTAGAGCTCAGGTTAATGAGAGCTCCATGAAGAAGAATGACATAAAAAGGGGCGAGCCAACTCAGGAGACTATGGTATCCTGGAAAGCACATGGTCTGCTAGGTCAAATGCTGCTGATAGGTCAAGTAGGACAAGGCCCGGGAAATGACTTATAGATTTTGTAACATGGTCATTGATGAGCTAATGGGGAGATTTGCAGTCTGATTAGGAAGCTTCAAGACAGACACCATCAACCAAATCAGTGCCCAGCTGCATTCTCAAAGAGAAGTTGTGTGAATGGGCTGTAAGAGTTTTATGAGCCTTCACTGTTTTGACAATAGATGAATTAAAGGCTTCCTTAAAGGATGTAATATCGTGCATGAGGCAGTAAAGTCATAGAGGGTGGATTCCTTATGTAGATGGACTGCTGATTTCCTAGACAACTCACCACCAGGCTCAGTTCTCACTCTCTCTGACTGCCCCATGCACCTACTGTCTCAGCTGCCAAGATGCCATTGACTTGCATGTACCCTATTTAGCTGATCTTGGTCTGAGCTTGTGGGAGTGCTATCTCCCCACTGTGTGCAGGATGGAGCTTGGCACCTTGGCAAGGTGACAATTTATATCAATTACCATGACAAGAACATCGTAAGTGTTTTTGTTTTGTTTTGTTTCGTTTTTGGGGGGTTTTTCTTTTTCTTTTCTTTCTTTTGTTTTTTTTTTGTTTTTTGTTTGTTTGTTTTTGTTTTTTTTTTTTTTTGAGACAGAGTCTTCCTCTGTTGCCCAGGCTGGAGTGCAGTGGTGCAATCTCGGCTCACTGCAATGTCTGCCTCCCAGGCTAAAGCAATTCTCCTGCCTCAGCCTCCCAAGTACCTAGGACTACAGGTGTGTACCACCAAGCCCAGTTAATTTTTTGTATTTTTAGTAGAGATGGGGTTTCACCATGTTGGCCAGGCTGGTCTCGAACTCCTAACCTCAGGTGATCCGCCCACCTCAGCCTCCAAAACTGCTGGGATTATAGGTGTGAGCCACCGCGCCCTGCCATAAGTGTGTTTCTGTCTTCACTTTTAATAATTAGGATAAGGACAGCTCTTTATTTGTAAAGAAATTAATTAGGAGGATATCTCTCTGAAATAGAAATGGTCCTGTGGAATCCAGATATCTTAGTCCCAGCCCTCTCTCTAAATGCAAATCCTGTGGTTGGAGTCTTCCCCCAATCTATGTGTAAGTACTCATGCTCTCACTTCCTGATGTCTCACAATTTAAACATCTCCAGTTGCTGCCAGTGCCCTGACACTAAAAAACAAATCAGGAAAATATCTCCCTGCTTGAATCAAGTCCTCCAATTCATTTGAAACACAGTGAAGGCCTTCAGAGGAGGGAGTGCCCAGGGGCTGCTGCTCTCCAGCATCCACTTCCAAAATAGGCTTTGAGCAGCTGTGTGGTGTTTCACCACCTCCCACAAGGAAGAAGTGAATTAGTATGGCTGCTTCATCAGGACTCAAAGAGCATTGCAATATTTCCTTAAGCATTTTCCTTTTTTTTTTTTTTCAAGTCTTAGCAGAGGGGAGATGTAGAACAATTTTCAAAATAAAACTGATTGCCATGGAGGGCTTTATGAGGGTGAGATATCCATCCAGTCTAAGTACTTATGGGCCTCAGATGAGACCTCAGGAGAGGTCAGGGGGAGCTTCCATGGGGGGTAGGGCCGTGGTCCATTGCTGCTGTTTATTTCCTCTTTACCTGAGAAACGTGTGGGCTGGACTCCCTGGCCCTGGGAAGGGCCCTGGCAGCCTGGGTAGTGGAGATGCCTCTTCTCTATCCTTATGTAATTATTTGTGGCTGTGTGGTCTTGATTATCTTGACATTTAAATGCTGAGTAATTTTCTCAAAACATTCACACTCTCTGAGGGATGAATGCAATTTCTGCTGTGTTTCAGACGGCAGTGTATAAATGGGGTAAAAACTGCATATAAGGGCCTGGAGCTGGTGGGGTTGGGGGACTTTTGAGAACCCAGAAGCTAAAAGTCAAAAGCTGTTTTGAAGAATTTAACTGCTTTAAGCCCCATAGTGATATTCACAACCTGAGCACATTAATTGGAAGAAGTTGAACAGAGAATCAGAAGGGAATTCTCAGATGGGGCAGAGCTGGTGCAAGCTCCTGGGGACACCCGCACAGCTTTGAATGAGGGAAACGAGGGCAGTCAAATCTCCTCATGCTGATCCCAAGGCCTAAACCCCACCTTATTTGACATTTGAGCTATAAAATCTAGAGAAGACATCTCATCTTCAGTAGGAAGTAAGAAACGGCCTTCCCACAGGGAAGGAAGGGGGAATGAGACTTCTCAGGAGCCCTAAACCTAGACCCAGCCTAAATCTGCTGAAACTAGTGAAAAGAAGCCAGCTGGAGGTAGACTGTCAGAAACAAAATCCTGAAAGGGCAGATGCGTCCAGGGGGTTGCCAGAGAGTGAAGAAGGATATGTCCCTGCGTCAGCATTGTGCTAGGCCCAGCTAAGCATGTAGTGATCAGCCACCACACGCAGGGCCTAGGAGTGGAGGGTGCTCCTGTGGCATGGAGAATGATGGTGGTGCAGGGCCTGAGACTGGCCTTGATCCTGAGTCAGGAGGAGAGACTTCCTCAGAACCAGAAGAAATCAGTCAATGGGGGCAGAGTGGATGGAGAGGTAAGCGGGAAGTGAAGGGGTTGGAGGGAACAGAGTCACTTTATAGTATTCCATAATATTCCACACTTCTGTAGTGGGAGAAACCCCTGTTACCCTAGTCTGGGAGTGCCCCTTGAAGGGCCCAAGGAATCCTAGCAGGAGGAGGTTCAAAAAGAGCAAGTCTGCTCGGCTCAGAGCTCATGATCAGATCTGTGTTTGCATTACAGGGGCCAGCCCACTCTGGGAAATCAAAATGCCTTCCAGTGGAATCTTTCCAAGGTTCCTTCTCATTTGCCCACATAAACCTATTTGGGGATTTTCACTGGGAAACAGTTACCACCACTTCCTCTGGTGACTTCATGGTTTCTTTCCTATTCTGACGCTTTATGATTCTATTTAAAATTCCTTTGTAAATAAAGTTAGGTGATAGGACAAATACATTTTATTATGTTTTCCCAAGTAGGTACCCACTGTTCATCTGATGGACATTTACTGAGCAATTGTTCAGCACCAAGCTTGATACTGAAAACAGTGGTGACTGAGACTGTGACCACCTGTGAATATTTCATCAAGTGCAAAAGAGAGAAACAAGCAGATACCAGGGTGGCTTTCAGCACACAGCAGGGTAACCACAATGTTAGAGGGATGTATGTCCTCTGTGTACACTGCAGAGGACATAATGAACTGCACTGGAGAAGGGTGGGTGTGAGGGAAGGATGCACAGAGGAGGAAGTATATGAGCTGGACCTGGAAGCCAGAGTGAGATTTCACCAGGTGCTGAGTCGGGCTGGTGGTAGGGAAGAACATAGGGGCTGGGAAAAAAATTTATGCCCAGGGATTGGCATTCACAAAGTAATGTTGGCCTGAAATGTTGATATTTACTTGTGCAAATCCATGAAGAGCAACCACTTTGGACTTGGACTGACCAATCACCAGGTTCCCAGAAACCAGTCTTCCAGTTCTGCAGAAACTATAAAACAGGAGCAGACAAAAGAAGAAATGGATGACAACTACTAGGTATCTACCAGGTCAAGAACTCTCTTGTCTCATCACTGCCGGTACTCCAGGCTCTGAACCCCCTTCAGGGCAGTGGAGACTAGAGAAGTGGAAATAACCAAATACATCAAAAGCAGAGATATTTTCATACTGAAGCAGACTGTAGACTGTTTATATTACAGGGGATTGAGGTTGCTACATAACTTCTGGCAAATCTGTAAGAGGAAAATAGAACTCTTATGGACTCACGAGATGGGGATAAGTAAAAAATAATAACATTTGCCCTCTTGCAAACCACAGAGCATACAGCTGAGTGTGGAGGGGCTGGCAGGAAATGTTGGAAATATAAGCAAAAGACAGATGAAGGTTGTGCATGGTATGCTAGGGAGCACAGACTTAACTCTGCATGCCTGAGAGCTTTTCAAGAATTTTAAGCAGGAAATTGGCATTACCACATTTGTGTTTCAGAAAGATTACCTTGGCTTCAGTGCAGTTGGACGGATATAAGGGCAAAAGCTGCAATCACTGAAATGAGGCTTCCAAGTGTTGTTTCTATAATCCAGGCAAGAGATTTCTGATAGCTAAAATAAATCACAGGGACATTTGAAGGTAAAATTTGGTGCCTGACTGGATGTTTGAGGTGAGCTTGAAGAGGTTATGGGTGACTGATGCTTTGGGCTGGGCGGCTGGATGCAGGCTGGTATCTGTTATTCACTGACCTATGGAATGCAGGAGGAGAAGCAGGTCTACGTAGGGCAACGTGGAGATGGATGAGTCTAGGCCAGACAGGTTGATTTGAGATGCCCCTGGGGTATCCAGGTTGAAAGTCCAGATGTTCAATACAGAGGTGGTCATGTGGCTGGTGCTCAGATGGGAAATGGGGGCTGGAGAAAGAGATGTGGGAGACATCAGGTGATAGGAGTAGCAAGAATGCCAGGTGAGGAGGAAGTCACACAGAACATCCCTGCGAGACCAACAGCAGGGAAGAACCTAAAATGGGTGGTGACAGGCAGTCAAGGAAGGAGCCAGGTTTGAAACTACTAGTGTGGTAAAAAGTACCAAGGACAGCAGCAAGGGCAAGAAGGTGAAAGAAAAGTCTTCGGGCATTTCTGAAGTTACTGCTGACCTTGGCATGAGCAATTATAGTCAGGCTGGGAGGACTTGAAAACTGCATTAAAGTTAATTAAAGACAGGAAAGGGGGGTGACAGTGAGGGAAGAGAAGAGATGGAGCTGTGCCTCATGCAGGTGCTGAGTTGCAGGAGAGACTGGGGAACATGGCTTTTTTTTTTTTTAAGATAGAAGAGATTTGTGTATGTTATCAGCTGTGTATAATATTTGTGTATTTAATCAGATGTAAATTTGTATATTTAACTTGGGTCAAGTGCAGAAGCACATTCCAGAGCACAGAGAGGGATTCTTCACACGAGGGAGGAGAAAGAGAAGGATGGCCGTGTGCGCTTGCAGATGAGTTTAACAGGGTAGGAGGCAAAAGGCTGAGGGATGCCTGGCCTGATTTCCTCTACTTTCTAAATTAGTCAAAAGTTCAAATAAATGTCTTTCATTTCCCATGAATTTGTATCCTAATCTTAGAAAGCATGTATCACAAAATATCACAAATGCCTTTGTACTCTAGTTTTTACCTGATTGTGCCTGAGGAGTCCTTGTCAAGAAGGGCAGATTGGTGAGAGTAAGTAAAACGAATATAGCTAGTATTTGGTGAAAGCAGAACTCCATATTCTAATATCAACCCAAACCAAACACACAACTCTAAGACACTGGAGTAGTTACAAGAACTATACTTAAATTTTAAGAACTATTGATCCCTACCCAAAATAAATCCGATCAAACCAATGCAGCACCCAATCTGACTGAACCTCCACCAATAGCTTCCAAAACTTCTTCCTTAGCAAGAAATCAGTAATAATCATAATGATAAAAATTAGTACAAGGATGATCAGAACAAAGTCCAGGAGAACCTCTACTAGGCAGAAACTATGTATTTTCCATTTTCTTATTCCAGAGACAACCCCAAAATGAATGTATTTTAGAATGTTTGTTCACTAAAATCATGAATTATTTATAAAAATTATTTTTTTCAGTAACTGCCAAGACATGTTAACGCCTATGTGGGTGAAGAGTGGCCACAGAGATTCCAGAAACATTAAAAGGCAGATAAAGCAAATTGGAATCAGGGGAGAGTTAACAGAAACTGTGGAGCTTAGGGCATCGGGACAGGTTGAGTGGGATTATACGACTCAGCTAAGCTCTGATGAATAAGAAGTGACTTTGTTCCTTATTAACTTGGTTCTATGTCTGGCTCCCCATTCTTTGGGAGCTCTGGGGCTCTGAGTGTGCCTCAGGTATCAGAGGTGATCCCTTAGGGGAGTGATTTAGCCACCTTTGCCTGAAAGTCTCCCCAAAGGATAATTCCTACCTCACAACATTCTTTGTGGCAATTCAGGTTGACTTCATCTTTAATCGTAAGAATGCTGGAAGGCATGCAGATGGGTGTTCAATGAAGACAAATTAAGCTTATTATTAATTTGAGGAGTAGTTTAATTATATTTTATGCTCAGGCAAAATAAAGATTAATTTTCATTATCTTTTGTTTTGCTTATCTGTGGTGCTGAGCAAGACTTATTTGCAATGCATATTTTTTTACTTAGAATAAAAATTTCTCCTCTCAATCCTTATTTACTTGTTTTTTCTTTTCATTTGACACATAAAAATTGTGTATGTTTATTGTATACAACATCACGTTTTGAAATATATATACATTGTGGAATGGAAATATAGAGGTAATTAACTATGCATCATCATCTCACATACGTAATCATTTTATGTGGTCAAAACACTTAAAATCTACTCTCTTAGTGCAATTATTCTTAAACTTAAAATTGATAAAGCAGTAGACGCCTTTTCAGGTGTTCTCCCAGGCTGTGGGTCAAAGACATTCTATTTTCCTTAGAACTATCTACCCCGTTTATACAAATGGGCTCCCTACAGTCAAGTCACATAGAAGATCCCATTCTCATGGCCAAGGTTAACTAGGCTGAGGATGGACACCTAACACAACCTAGAGAGATCCCAGTCACTTTTTAAGCATTTGGAATTGTGGCTAGAGATTTCAATCACAGCACAGCCTGATGTTTGGAACTTAAAAGCTATAGAATCCCAAAGCTGCAGGGCAGGTGTCTCCGGCCACCTTCACTGAGTCGTAGGAAAGTCAGCAGAAGTGCAGAGGAGAAGCAGGCATGGAAGGAAGGGAGAACACTCCTTCACTTTCACTTACTCAATTTCCTAGTTCCACAGGATCATGTCTCCTTTTAATTCAGCAAGCTTTTACCCACCACACCCCCCCAAAATATAGATAAGGTTCCTTTAGCCCCACTCAGCCACCCAATGTGGTCTCACAATGTCTGACACACATCCTTTCCTTAGATTCAGTGGAAATTCCCTTAATCTCATTCCCTCACAATAGGTGCAATATTAACCAAAATGAACTTTATTCTGAGAAGGAAAGGTAGCCTTAAAAGTTTTGTCAGAATATATTTTTACAATGAAATTACTTCAAACTTTTGACAAAATTCAATTTGGGCATAAAACTCTTTTGGTTTTCAATCTTTTTTTGCTCTCGTTGGTGGTGCAAAGACACTTGCAGGTTTTTTATCATAGGTCATAGGACCCTCATTTACCTGCACAGTGTTCACCTGTAGTGTGAGACAGACAATCAATGGATTCAGTTGCCAAAATCAAGTCTGTCAACCTGTTGTCACTGTTTAGTGTATCAGCCAAATGTGCATATTTCCTTAGTTTGGAGAATTAGTGTTCTGGAGATGTTGTTCAGTTTAGGAATTTTTTTTAGTTCCTTCCAGCTGCTATAACAAGATGTCATAGAGTGAGTGGCTTATAAACAACAAAAATATTTCTCACAGTCCTAGAGACTGGGAAGTCCAAGATCAAGGAGCTGGCAGATTCACTGACTGGTATGGGTCAACTTCCTTGTTCATAGATGGCCATGTTTTGGCTGTGCCTTCACATGGTAGAAGGTGTGAGGAAGCTATTCGCAGTCTCTGTTCTATAAGGATGTTAATCTCATTCACAAAGGCCACTTCCTCATGACCTAGTCATCTCCAAAAAGGCCCTATCTTCAAATATCTCCACGCTGAGGATTAGATTTCAACATAAGAATTTTGAGTAGACATAAACATTCAGTTTATAGAAAGACTCTTGATGTACTACAAATGCATACTATGTGGTTTACAAAATCCAAGGAAATAGTAACATTCCATGAGACCATTGTGAACCCTTCCAGAGATGGCAATTCTGTTATTTCAACAAACAGCTAATTTTCTTAAGTGAGACACCACCCTGCCTTCCAATAACATCTTCTAATTAATAATTTTAGAAACAGTAAACAATGAAACCCATATGTTTTTAAGAATTTAAGGTTGAATATTCTATGAAAAGTATTTCTGCAGTAAAATCCAAAAATAGTAACTCCCATTGCATTGATTTAATGACCATTTGTGTAATTATGAATTTGATATATTTTCTTCCTAAGACTGCAAGCCCCATTAGAACAGAAACTGTCTGGATTGATAGATCTCATATCTCTCTTTCACAGTGCTGCCACATAGTTGTCATTCAATAAATATGTGTTGAATGGTGAATGCACTAAGGAAATCAGTTTCTTACCCTTTGGCAGTGCCCGTAAGTTACTCAAAGCAACAGGATTTCTGGTCTATATATCAGAAGCCCATAAGGAATCAAGAAGATAAAATAAAGCATTTGAATGTGGAATGATCATGTTGGACAGCAGTGCAAAGCCCTAGAAGTAAGGTCAATACCTCAGAAGCAAAAAGGCAGATTGTAAATCCTCCAGTAGAGAAGGCTATTTTTACTGAAATCTAGTCTCCCAGATTCTACTAAACACTACCTCCATTATCTTATTTAATTATCCAGCAACTTAACAGGTCATAGAAAAAAAATGTTTAAAGGACTTATTAACACATATCTTGCCCAAGTTACTTGGTTTGTAAATGTTACCATATGTATTTAAAGCCAGGATTGTCAGCTTCTAATGTTCTCACCTTTCTATGGCACCAGAGAAGAGTAATGGTTGTGAAACAAAGTAATCAAGAGAGGCTTCTCAGCAACAGATGATTTGAGCAGGTTCAACACAATTAGGTATCTAATAATCACTAACATTGATTTACTGCTCATTGGGTACTAAGCTGTGCTCGAAGGCTTCATATTTTTTCACTAATTTAATTCTCATAATAGTCTGGTGAAGCTCCATGAAATAAATGCTATTATCATCTTTATTTTATATACAAGAAAATTGAGGCATAAGCAGGATTGGTACCTTATTTTAAGATTACATAGCTAGAAAATTATGGATCTAAGATTTAAGCACAGTTTTTACCAAAGCATATGCTGTCAACCATGACATAACATTCCCTTTAGTAAGAACCTACTAACAGCTAGTTTACATAGATTCATCTGTTATACCAGGAGAGCTTGTTAATTTATATTTTAGTCAGCTCCAACCATTCAAACCCAAGTGTGAACGTAAGAGGATATTCCCTGAACAAATAAAAAAGTCGTAAGAGTTGGATTAGAGGATGCCAAGTAGCTCAGTCTTCCCCATGTCTTTGCCTGCTCCATCTGCCCAGAAGCTCCAGCCAAGAAATAGCTCTTGGCCATGGCATTCATCTGCTCTGATAAATAAATTTTCTTCTAAATGTAATGACACTTATCTAGTCAGAGACTTTCAAGAAAATGGCCTATTCCTCAGCAATGGGGACACTAATATCCTTTGGTTTCTTTCTAGAGTTTAGATTTTTCAGTAAAATAAATCACAGCTGTTCCATAGGAGAAGAAACCATAGATGCCTCAAGTTCTCTTAGAAACATAGAACCTAAGCTAGTTAATAAAAAGAGACTGTCAAGGGCAGAGAATACAGAGAGCCCATCTCAACCTTAGCAGTTTACACAGGCTGGAAGGATACGGCTGGGGAAAGGGAGAAGCCCCCTTTTCTCCTGTATATGACCACATTACTGTTACTCTGGTCCACTGATTTTATAGAACATTAACCACCATCACTGGGACTCCAGAGCAAAGGAGAGGTACAATAACCAAGAGGTGGAAAAGCATAGGGGAGGAAAGTGAACTGTGTTTAAAATCAGGAGAATAGGATCCGGGAACAGAGCTGCAACAGCCAGACAGGTGACCTTGATTCCCACTCTACCTCCCCAATCCTTGCACAGCTTTTACCAGATCTTATTTACCAGACTTTCAACACAGGAGCAGGTAGTGGTGTGTTCTTGCACTGGGAAAAATATAATTGTTGCATCTTGTTCAATGATGTTAGCAGCCATTGATGAGCAATACCTAGTCCCATTAATTATGGCACTAGACCTTCATGCATTCACTAGGGAAAGTAAAAAGAGAAACCTCCCTTTATCTGCTATTTGGTTACTCAGTGGCACAGCATAGGCAGGAAAGATAGACAGATGTTTTACCCTTTCCATTCCTCTACTCAAGGTGCTGATGCCACCAAAATTCTTTATAAGGAGAAGAATTTGATGACTCCTCCTTGTGTCTGCCTTCTTGTTTCTTTCCTCTACCATTTCACTTTTCTGCCTAGGCTGCAAAGTCATTTTCAGTCTTCATTAGGCCACTCAAAACATATTGGTTAAATCATTTCTCAAATTCCTCCCCTTTCCTATCGAATCCCTGTATTGTTATTATCATATGCCTAGATCACAGTCTCATTTACAGTGTTGGTGTTAGAAATAAAGACCACACAGCATTTTCCTATTCTTTTAATTTTGAGACATTATAGCATCATAAATACTGCTAAAAGTGAGAGAATATGGAAGAACATACTCTCTTGATGCTCAAAATAAACTGAGGATTATGCAGGCTCTTTTTCTACCTCATGTTGTAAACAATGGACAGGAAGACAGTGGATTCAATCTGGTCTCTCTATTTTGTTTGTCCAATGAAAAAACTTACGAAAACTACCAACAAAAAAACTTCAAGGTCTTTGCCTCTAAAATAAGCATAATTTACTATATTTAATAGAATAGAATATATAAACAATGGGACTACCACCTGCACTCTGACAGATCATTTGTCCTGATGTTGGGATTAGCATTGCTGCCCTGCCCTAAAGCCTCCTCTGCCACTGCCATGAAGCCACCCTTAGTTTGTCGTCCATTGTCCATCATAGAGCTGAAAATGTGTCAGAGTGAATTTGAGGGAAATGTTTTACATAAGTCCAGTGCATAGTTCCAGCTCTACTTAATTCTGTGATTCAAAATTCCCATTGCCATTTAAACTCCTGGTATCATCATCTGTAAAATAAGATAATAATACATGCTTTCAACGATATTATGAGGATTAAATGAGATAACATAGGTACAATGCCATATATACTTATCAAATACATATATATTTACCAAGAAATGCCATTAAATAGCAGGTATAAATACTTTTGGATTCCTAGCTTGTGGAAAAAAAGTACACATTTCAGAAAGCAGTTAAAATGTTCACTTTCTTTATGTCTTTCAAATTCAGTGCGTATAATAATCACTCCCTTTGGTAAAACAGATTCTAAAATATCCCTTAAAGGAAACATTCACTGTACTGCAAGCATCTCCTACAGATGGTAAACTTCCTGAAGAGAGGCACTTTCTCTGAGTACTGAGCTGATGGTGCCCGACACATACTCAATAATTAGCTTTGAAATGAATGGATCTAGACTTAAATGAAAATACCATCAATGCATCACTAAGTTACAGAATGTGATTTGTATAAAGTTGCTTCCCTTAGAAATTTATAACATTCTAGAAGACAATGTGAGAACATGCTCTGTTTTGCATGGATAACACATCTTTGGTGTTTAACCAATGTCAGTTGGTCCTCTGAGAGTGTTTTACAAATTTTATCTCCTCCTTCCACCTCTTGTGCCCAGCATTCAAGAATTCAGCACTCTTCTAGCCTTCTTCAATAATTCAGTGTTTCATCTGCAATACATCTAAGTAGAAGATCAGAAAAATCTAGCTAATCAGGTATCTTAACTCCCTAACTAGTATGATTACATTTGAAGCCAATTCATCTTGGTTTGGAGCCAAATGGGTCTTTGCCGTGCCTCTTATCCAGTGCATTTATTAATAGCATCCCTTTCACTCTCAAAAATGCCCCAGTTTGGTCATCCTAATGATAAGCTACTGCAGAGGCATGCCCTCTGTCTCACTGGTCTTCCTAAGCACAAAATTTACTCTCAACAGATGTTTGTTGGTTGAAACAAGGACAGTGCTTTGCTAATCAGTCTAATAAGAGGCAGGTGTTCTTGTCTGTATACGTTTTTCCTCAGCTCTTCTCTGAATTAAGTATCTTCTCCAAAAGCCTTCATTTTGACTTATCCTTAATAATGCCTCTCTTGTCCTTAAATAATTAATGGGTTTAAAAATATCTGTCCGTGAAAACAGAGTGATACATGGAGTGGAGAAAAAACAGTGAATATCTTGGCAGAACAAATAAAAGCTGCATTACTAACTACATAAATCTCACCAATAGAGTTCATCTGCCTTTCACAGCAAGAGTTTTAATTTCCTTTGTCACCAGGACTCATAAATACATGCTGCATGACTGGCCCAACTGCTTTATCCAAGACTGACACTAAATTTCTTATGTGTACTAGTGCAATGGTCAACTTGTGCTGGGAGAGACCAGGTAGGTGACTGGGTGACAGTGACAGAGAAAGAAGAGCATAGAAAGATAGAGCACCATCTGGGTAGGAAAGCTTCCTACATTAATTGGCTTTGTTACAGCCACACAGAGGAAAGTATATTTCACACGCATACATGTACATGCACGTGCGCACGCACACACACACACACACACACACACACACACACACACACACACACCCTAATGTCCACTGGCCTGTTTTTATCACTACTAAGGGGTTTAGAGAGATACCTTTCTCTGGCATATCTGTTCCTCAAAACAGTGTCAAGGAGCGAGTCAATCAAGGCAAGAAATAATTGCAAGTAATTTCATTTTCACCACAAATGTCAACCATGTTGGCTAAAAATCTTATATTCAAAGTATATCATTTTTATCAACATAGCAAAATGTCTTATCATATTGTCAAACATGAGTGGCTCCAAATTGTGAGTAATTTCCGCCCCACCCCACTGCCACCCCGCCTGCCAGGGAATATTTAACAATGTCTGGAGACACCTTTGAATACCATGATTACGGGGTGAGGAGGAGGGTTGCTACGGACACCTAGCAGTCAAAGACCAGAAATGATGCCAAGCATCTTGTAGTGCAAAAGATAGGCCCCTACGACAAAGAATGAACTGACTTAAATGTCAATAGCATTACTGCTGAGAAATATCGGTCTTTGTTAATTAAAAAATATGGAATTGGAGAGGGATCAATTTACTTTTTCATTTAATAACTATTTACCAAAAAACTAAGCAGCATAATGTTTGTTCTAGATTTGAGATTAGAGATAAATATGACATGGTGCTGAAAGATCCTATTCTGGCAATTGATGGCCTAGAGATCCTGAAATCCTCCTGTAATACAATATTTGAAAATTCTCAATGTACCATTATTAATAATAGCTTTATAAAAATGAAATGATGTTATAAGAATTTTTTTTGAAGGAATTCTGTTCAAGTCGAAAAGTGAGAATATTGGGAACAGGAAAGTACGCCCATCTGAGCCACTTCTCGTCCTGAGAGTTAAGGGAAGCCTGTGCACTGGAGCTTTGGCCTGCTAAGGGAAGGGGAGAACAATTTTGCCTTTTAAACCCTATAAATGTTGCACATGTTCAGAAAATAAAATTTTAAAAAGAGAAGTAAAGGAAAATCTGAAAACTGAAAACAAATATAAACAATTGTATATCAAGCATAATAGTGTATCAAACTAGAAACAAAACTTGCAAATAAAATGTTTCAGGTTACTTTTGAAAACAAAACTAGGAACTTTACATTCTAGGTGAAATATAGTTTGAGGCCAAAATAACTAAAAAATCTTAAACAGCAATCAGTAATTTTATTTTTGTTAGTAGTAACATCATCATTTTTCATCTTAAAACCATTATCTGTTTTGCAGCTAGAGTTTAACCAGGAAATAAAAATACATGTTGAAGGACACAGAAAATTAGACAGTATGTTAATTTTACCAGGAATCAAATTTTCAGTATAAGAATAGAAATGAAGCATAAAATCAAAAGTTAAGAAAGGATGTATAAGGTTAACTTGAATTGGCAATATCAGGATTTTTAAATATATCTCTCTTAGCACTTTGCACTGGCCTAGAAACCATGAAACCATGACATCCCAATAGCAGTAAGGGCACAAATGTTATTTTATCAGAGCCCAGCACTCATGCCACTGCCTGAGGAAAAAAAAAACTGACTAGATAGCAGAAGAAAATAAATCACTAGAAATATGTGTGTACTATATACCCACAAGTACAATGAAATAAATTTCAGTGGACTTAATCTTGTTAGAAGATATCAACTATTAAACCACAAAATGTAAAGAAATAGAAATGTTGAAATTAGTAAGACTAAAAAGAATTGGATATAAAAGTTGATGAGGCTATATTAATATCAGACAAAATATACAAGAAAGCATTAATAGAATTAAAGAGGCTTACTTCAAAATGATACAATTTTAATTCAATATGAGGATATAACAATTCTAGATTTTCATGAATAAAATATTATAGTCTCAAAATGTATAAAGCAAAAATTGATGTGACTATAAGGATAAATTATCCAGGGAATATATAACAAATCTCTCTTACTTTGGAACAATAAGCAAAAAAATACTATTGTAGATTTCAATATTTTTTATTACCTAATGGACATATGCAAACTATTTTACATTACTGCCCACCAACATTCTTAAAAATGAACCACAAATTGTTAAACTTACATATTAATTCTAGTAGATGGTTTTTTAAGATTTTCTTCATAGGTTATCATGTCATGTCATAATAAAGAGTTTTGTTTCTTGCTTATCAATCTAGGAAATATTTATTGTTCTCACCTTATTGTATCAACTGGAACCTAGTACAAAATTGAATAGAATTATTAAAGTGAATATCTTTCCTTTGTTCCCGTCTTATAGGCTAACATTCAGACTTTCAACATTAAATACATATGATGTTAGTTATAGTTTTACATAGATCTTTTTTATTTCATTGAGGAAGTTCCTTTTCATTCTTACTTTATTGAGAGTTTTTATAATGAAAGGACACTGAATTTTGACAACTGCTTTTTCTGCATATATTGAGATGATTGTGTGGATTCTATGCTTTAGTCTGTGGCTAAAGGAAATTACATCAATTAATTTTTTAATGTTAAACCAACTTTGCATTCCTATAATAAACTCCTCTTAGTCATAATGTATTATCCTCTTTACATATATTTTTATTTTAAGTGCTATTTTTAAAGAATACTAGCTATATTCATGAAGGATGAAGTCTGCAGTTATTTTTCTCTGTGGTGACTTTGATATTGGTAACAGGGTAACACTGTTCTCATAAAATGAATTAGGATATATGAACTTCTCTTTATTTTCTGGAAGAGTTTGTGTGAAATTGGTATTATATCTCCCTTAATGGATTTGCAGAATTATTAAATGTTCCTATCAAATTATTCTTGCATGAGGGTTGGAATTTGTTCTTTCCAACTAAGTTTTTGAATTAATTAACATAAAGTGGTTCATCATATTCCCTTTTTATCTTTCTAATATCTGTAGGATTTGTAAAATTGTCCCCATACTGGAAATCTCTGTCCTCTCTTTTCAGTTATTTTATTGATTTTATAAAAGAATCAGGTTTTTTATTTTTTATTCAATGTTTTGAATTTTTCTGTTAACTGGATAAATGTATTTAAGTATGTAAATTTCCTCTGAGAAATCTGCCACAGCATGAATTCTTTAAATGAATACTATTTGTCATGAAGCTTTAATGAAAACATTTAACAAAGCATTAGCCTGATAATTTGATTGACAACATAAACAAATCTGTTCATTTTCTGATTCTTCCATTCAGCAGTTCCTTCCAATCATCTGCATTTCTACTGTGTGCCAGGTATAGACATTTACATTAAATAATAATAATAATAATAATAAGGGTACCATAATAAACCATTATCCACAGGGCTCTTAAACCGGTAGTTACTGAAGATCCTATGTCTGATTGCTGCTTAACTTCTGCAGGCTTTGATTTCAATGACATAAGACTAACTTTCACATTTCCTTTTGAGACTTGGAGCCTCCCTTTGAGCAGACTATGGCCTAGGTTGAGTCCCTGCGTCTACTTCAGCTTCTTCCACTTGCATCTTGTCTATGATATTTTGTTAAATCCTTAGCTGGCTTCTAAAATTTTCTGTTCTACTCCTGTCTTTACTACATTTTCCCTTTGTGAGAGTCTTGTGTATATAACTAGTGCGTTTAAAAAGCAAAGCAAAACAAAACACTGATTTCAAAGATATTACCACATTTAACTAAACTTTGCTCAGTGATTATCCCCAAAGCCTGCCAGAGGTTGTTTCTTTTCACCTCCTCCCATAACCAAAGTTATATAAATTCCACAGCTGAACTTAGCTCATCAAGGCCCTCATGCCCTTCATAACTCCTTCTGTGTCACAGACCAAATGGAGAATGCAGTCTTAAAGCCACGCTATATTTTGACTCAGTCTCTCAAATATCTCCCAGATTTGCACTGTAAAAATACTATTCCCATTCTCTTCTATTTACTTTCTCTTCTTTTAAATTTATAAAAATTATCCAGATATTTCTTTTAAAATAAATGTTACTTGAAAACCTATTTTAATGGCAGTATAATATTCCATCATGTGATTGTACTTATTGAATAATTTTTGTATTGTTCAGGATTTTCTTCTTAATTTCCTTGTAGGCTCATTTTGGATGCCTTTGTGATTAGTACCCTGGGACATATTGCCTTAGGTGAAGATTCTAGGCAAAACAATATAGATATTTTAAGGCTCAATCCATATCATTAAATACTTTTCTCAGAAAGTGACACCAGTTTACCATAAGAACAATAGTTGTATACATTACATTCTTCTTATTCTTTTCTAAATTGGTGAGATTTTTGGCTCTTTTTTCTGTTAAACAAGTAAAATAGTATTCTTTCATTTAAATTTGCACATGTGGTAACTTAACAATTTTTTAGTTTTAAAATTTGTGCTAATTATCAACTTGTATTTAACCTTCTATAAATTGTTCTCTGCACTTTTTCAGTTTTAGTGCTTTTCTTATTGGTGTATACAATATTTCACACAAAAAAATCAATTTGTGTTTTATATGTGAAAACAATATTATTAATGTATCAAGGTTTTAAATGTTAATCTAGTCAAATTTATCAGCCTTTGGCTTCATGATTTTTCTTATCGTTTACATCCTTATAAAGTTTATTTTCTTTGCAAGAGCAACTAACTAAACATGTATATATTTTGTAGCTTATAATTTCACTTTTCTCAACCAGTTTAAACATCTAAAATTTATTTTTAATGCCTTATAAAGTTTGATTTTTTTGAAGAATTTTCTCCTAAATACAAATTTTTGACTTAACTTGCTTAATAATTTTTTACAGCCCTAGGTTTGTGATTTTATAAATAATGTGTCAAAATAGGTCACATAGAAAAAGTTTAGTATATATTTAGTCACATTTACATATATATACAGAAGAATGAATAAACGAATAATTTTACAGATTCATATTGATAGGTTTGCTATTATTTTCCAGAGTTTAATATTTTATAAAATGGAGGAATACTTGCTTCTCAAGCCCTTTTCTCTGAATTCAGATTTGGAAACTACAAGAGAAATTTATAGTAAGTGTCTTCTGTTCTCTAATTCCCAAAAATACTTCCAAATATGAGAATTTAAATGAATAGTGCTTGAATTCTCTGTTCTTCATTTCCTCTTAAGAATCTTAAAAATCTGTAAAATTGTATTTTACAGATTTTAAATACATAATGCTAAAAATGGAATCATTATAGCCATGATGGGTTTATAAATTTAGCTTCTTTATGATTCCACTCATGTAGATAAATAGTTGGAGATCTTTTCCCCTAGTAATGAAAACTAGTAGCAATGAATAAATCACATTATGTAAGGGTCAAGTCTTCCTACCTTTGACCCTTACATAATGTGATTTACTATTACTACTAGTTTATAACTTCACTAGTGGTGAGATTTTATCTCTGAACCCATACCCTTCCACTCTGTCTCCTCACTGCTTTTATCCTGATCTTTAAATCCAGATGCTGACTTGGTAATTTGAATTTGACCTCAATTTCTGGTTATTCTCTTTGCTGCTAGTGGGGTTCAACTTTAACTGAAACTGGCCCTGTACTCTGTGGTATACTGATCTCCTTACCCTACAAGCCAAGTATTTTATCTAGACTAATCCCCCCAAAAAGCTCATTAGAATGAGATTTTTGCCTTGAAAAGAATCTCTTATGAACAATAAAATAGCACAAAGATTGATTTGTTCAATATTTTATATTAGAATGAGCTGCCAAGGAGCCCAGTGCTGCCTTTGGTTTTCTCATTTTCATTAATCTTAAAAGAGATACATCTTATTAATTAAATCTGCTCTTCTAAATTGGATGGCATTATAAACTGGAGAGAAATGACCCAAAGAAGGAAATTGAAAATGGGTGGTGGTGATTAACAATAAACACAAGATTCATCTCAGAAGAGGATAAACAACCTCCTAAAAGAAAGTTTTTCTGTTTTTACTACGCTTCAAACAGAAATAATAGAAGCAAAGAAGACCCAGAAACTGACACTAGTGAATCCACAACTTGTGTAGACAGATAAGGAAATTTGCAAACTACAATCTGGGGGGAAAAAGAAAGGCTAAGCTGACCCATCAAAATCCATTAAACAATGCTTGAACCTTTACTCTTCAAATACTGATACTTAGAAAATTGGGCAGTTTACTTTCGGAGGCCGAGGCAGGCGGATCACGAGGTCAGGAGATCGAGACCATCCTGGCTAAGACGGTGAAAAGCCGTCTCTACTAAAAATACAAAAAAAAGAAAATTAGCCGGGTGTGGTGGTACGCGCCTGTAGCCCAGCAACTCAGCAGGAGAATGGCTTGAACCCGGGAGGCGGCGCTAGCAGTGAGCAGAGATCCTGCTACTGCACTCCAGCCTGGGCCGCAGAGCAAGACTCCGCCTCAAAAAAAAAAGAAAGAAAATTGGGCAGTTTATGTATAAGCAATTCAGGCAGTTGTATTAGATACATGTTTTTTGCTCATGATCATTAGTCTGGGCTCCAGGAAATAGTATGTCACTTTTTCAGTTACTATGGGTGTGACTTTGAGCAAAGTATTCAAATCTTCTGAACTGCAAATGCCTTATGGGTACAAAGAGGATAATAATCATTTCCATTTCACTGGGTTGTTTGAGAATTAGAAGATAAAATGCACATGAAAAACTTGACAAAGTGTCTACTATTTACTAAGTATTTGATACATGTTAACAATTTTTAACGTATGATTTCAAAAATGATAACTTAACTGTAGGAGCAAGAAAAGGTCGATGCCCAGGCCAGGTCTAAAACTGTCAACTTAGCTAGTAGGAAGGAGTAATGAAGCCATGTCACAGACAAAGAAGACTATAGGAATAAGTCAGGAAAAATGTCCTCTAGAAGCTCATTGTACAGAGAAAAGTACAGGTAAATATAAGGTGATGCTTTGATTCCAATAACAGAGACACACATTAGGTGCAGTGAAACTCCAAGGGAAAAAAGTCACTAAATCTGTATTGAGGCATTTAAAAAGGCTTCACAGAAGAAAAAGTATTTGAGTTGGTGCTTCAAAGATGAGGGGGAATTTTGAGAGCTTCTCTGGAGGTTCTAGCAGGGGAATGCAGCTGCTCATCTGTTGGGGAATGTCACCCTCCTCGACCAAACGCACAGCTTCCGGAGGGATACATATGGAGCAGTGAGGGAGGAAGTGGACACCCGCCTCTCCAGCCAGACCAGCTGAGTCAACCCTGGTTATCATGGGGTGACAGATGTCACAGCCAGATAACCCTCACATCCTGAGAGAGAATTTTTCAAGTAGAGATTGGTACAGGAGTATCCTAAAGACTGAAACAAATGCTCATGAGGAGGAAGTGTCCAAAAAGCACAGAGTGAGTAGTGTTGTAACCAAAAGCAGGTTCAGTCACTTGCCACTTGCAGAATCCAATTAACAAGAGCGAGGTCTGGAATAAAGAAAGTGACTTTTATTCTAAAGCTAGCTTAGGGGAAGAAGTACAGGCTTTCTGCCTAAAGGGTACCATTTTGCTTTTGGAGCAGAAAGTGGGCACTTTCATAAAGTTGGGGGGGAAGTCATCAGGTGGTGTGGGGATCCGTGTGCTAGCTTGGTGCCTTATCTACCAGGCAGTCGAGTTGGCATCCTCAAGGGCAGAAATAGGTCGTACAGGTGGCCAAAAACTCTCTAGATGGAGGAGAGTTTCATAGCAGGATGCTGGGTTGTAAATTGACTGTCATCTCTGGAGGCAATGTTCTGGTGGGTGAAAGTTCTGCCCTAGAGCTTCTAAACACATAGTTAGATGAATTTGTCCTGTAGGGAGTGTCTGGTGAAGGGGAGGTGGAAGGCTATAATGGCATTTCTAAAGGGCTAAGTAGGAAGTGGGGAACAGAGGAAAATGGAGAAAAGAGAAAAGAAAATAATTTTAGAAGTAACTCATTCTCTTTTTCTTTAAAAAATAGAGGTACTTGGTTACAGTTTGATATATTTGAAGTAGACTGAGGTAAAGCAAGGAGTGGAAGAGATGTGGAACTACAATAATTCAGCTGAGAAAAAGACGAGTTCAGTTTGTGAATACCTTGAATGGCATGTTGGGGGTGTATACATTACCCTGAAGACAATGGTGAATTGAAGGATATTAAGCTGGGGAAAGACAAGTCTTCAGGTTATGACCATGAAACAGGACAGCAAGAAACCCGTGGCAGTATAGGCGAAATGGGTGTTTATTCTGGTCAAGAAAATCCCCAAATGAAGAACACTTCCAGAAGAGATAGCTAAATGTTCAGTTAAGGGGCATACACAGTTCACAGAGCCATGCTCTGAGGAGATGGGAAGGGAAGTACCAGCTATAGATCCTGGAGTGTATGATGTTGGATGGAAACTCAAGAAACTATCCAAATAAGAAACCTCCTGTTACAGCAAATAGCTTATTCCCTGATCCACTGGTCAGGAGGAGTTCGTATGGAATTTTTCAAGGGCTCACAAAGCCAGGTCCTCTACGAGTTAGGAGGAAAGAGAGAAGGTATATCTGAAGCACTCTTGGGAGGTAAAAGGAGATGTTGAAAAGTGACTGAGAAGAAAAAAAACAGAGCCAGTGAGAAGTCCTGCCTTCCTTACCCTAAGGACAAGCTCTCCTCTTGAAAATGTCTGGGCAGTATATATGGGAGAAGGAGAAACACATACATAAAGGACCAAGTCTGGGGAATAACGTTTCCAGGACAAGGCAGGAAAACAAACACTGTCTTTACAGACATAAAACCTGAGATTGAACTCCAAATCCATTTGCAACTGTGTGATCTTGGATATATTACTGAAATTTTCATAGTTTCAGTTTCCTTATCTGTAACATGGTGATTATTGTAGTTACGCTGCAAGAGAATTGTAAAGGAGAAACAGATAATATATGTTAAACATGTAACTGATAAGAGTCACATGACCTGAACTCTGTTAGTTTCTCTGGGACCCTGAGCAAGTCACTTCACCCTCCAGTGCCTCAGTTTATCCATCTATAAAAATGGGATGATGGCTGCCCTAGTATCACTCAGGACTATTCAGGGCACATTTTAAAAATGTTATTGAAAATTATAAAGCACAATATAAAATCTGCTGGAATTATTGGTATTAGAAATGGTACAATTTATGTTGAATTTTAAGCTGTCAGCTTATGAAAGACTTGTTTTCAGCACTGAGTTCACTAATGCCTGACTCCCTCTAAAAATAACAAGCAATTTCAGTAAATTGTAAAAGGGGAACATTTGCATGGCTTCCTGTCAGTAAAGACCATTTATGTGCTTGAAAGGAATACCATTTAGATATGACATAAACCCTGCAATTGCTTACAACTAACCTTGCTCAGCAAAGAAAAAATTATCATAGAAATTTACCATGTCAACAGCATCTCCCTGGGACATGAAAGACCTTTATTCCAAAAGGTGAACTGAAAGAGTTTGTAAGTGTCACTGCAATTTTTAAACACTTTTTTTTTCAAATGCAGGTTATCACCACCCTCTAATTTACAACAAATGCTCTCTATATGGTGACTTCTCAAACTATAGCTCCAGCCCAGATAGCTCTGTTGAGATTAAGCTCCATTCATTCAACAGCCAGTTGGATATTCTGCACTCAACATATCCATTACTAAACTTATCAGCCTCTACACCAAAACTGCGCTTCTTCCTTTCTTCCCATGATTGTGGCTGGTTTCTTTTGCATAAGCTAAAATCTGCCCAATGAATGGAGTCAAGGATAGGTGCCATCCAGGCAACTCACTGCTATTTAAAGATAAAATTTCCATCTTCCATACCTCTTGTTTTCCTGGCTGTGCCTTCTTCCAGCTATACCTAAAGCAGCCTTACTCCACCATTTCCACATTCCAGTAAGTACTAGGAAAAGAAAGAGTACAGAAGTGGGAGTGAAGCCAGCAATATTTTTGCTTCATGTTAGGTCTAAGAATTAAGGTTTGACATGTCTAGTGACATTGAGTTTGACTGTTTTCCTGACCTTGACAAAAGAAACCTAAATTGGAAATCAAGCCCCGTATCACCACTTACTAGCTTTTCATCTAGAGAAAGTCATTTGTTGTATCTGACCTCAGTTTTTTCATTTATGATTTAAATGTAATAATAACTACTCTCCTTTCTCACACGGTTGTGGTGAGGCTAAAGAGGAGATACTTAAATGTAAAGCAGCCATGTGTATTGCAAAGTTTTAGGTAGTACAAATGCCATCATTTTTCCTCCCAAACTCTGCAATTGTGCTTGCATCTCCATCTCCTCCTCCTTTCCTTCTGTTCAGGTGAAGCATGAAGGCTCCTCCCACCACAGTCCAAGCCATCTACTGTGCCTTGCTCCACCCCATTTCTTCCTCCTCACTCAAGAATTTTGTTCCATTTAGATCTCTTTTCTCTTTCCTGAAAGAGAGAGATCCTTAATCTCATCTGTTCTCCTAGCTCATCTTCATCAACATACAAACACGTTGCAGTATCTTCCATTGAAAATAAATCTTTCTTTACCCCTCACGTACATCTCCAGTCATTGACTGTCTCTCTCTTCCCCTCTATGTGTGTTTATCAAATGCATCGCTCACAATCATTGTCTCCCCTTCCTTATCACCATTCTGTCTTCAACTCATTTTAATCTCATCCTTTCCCTCCTTCTGTAGTCAGCAGAAATTGTTGTTCTTAAAGTCACCATTGACCTCATTGCTGTAATTTAATCCTATTCAATCTCCCACCCAGCATTCCCTATGATTTGGCCACTCTTCTCTCCTGAAATCTCCTCCTCTCTGAGTTCCCCCACCTCACTATCCTGGTTTAACCCTCAAATTAAGATTCTGAGCTTACTTAGTTACAACCTATGTCCATGCATATGTATATCCTCAGCTTCTAACATAGCTATCAGCACCATGCTCAGGAAGTGTTTTTATTTCTTTGCCTTGCTTGCTTGTTTTTAAAGAAACTATCTGGTCCCCAGTTGTGTCTGTTAGTTTGTTTTGCTTTTAAGAAGGGTATTACATTTGGATAGAGAATATATTATATTCCAAATAAATTCTAGTTTCTTTCATTCTTTTTTCCCATCCAGTAGCAATTTTTATGACTATATATAAACATATGTGAAATAAAATGGTAGATATTTGTCTCATGCTATCTGTGATGTTTACATTTTTATTTTTTAAATCAATTTTATACTGGCCTCAAAATGAGCTGGGTTGCTCTGCTTCTTATCTTGGTTGTCCCAGATACAGATGTCCTATTCATTTATGTAATGCGACGTTTACATTTGTAGAGGTCTCACACGATTATCCATAAACTCTGCCATGTCTGCTAGACTGTCCTGAGTTTGCAGTTTTAAAATTTCATTCTTTTTATTTATCAGTATCAGTGAAGGCAGGTTTTATGCTTCTATGTATTTTAGTATTACTGAGGTAAATTTAATATATAGTATGTTTTCAATAAAAAGTAGATTAATGTATATTAAAGTATAATATGAATACATTTAAATGCACCCTTTTTAGTGTGCAGTACTGAGTTTTGACACTCTTTTAGGTAGTATCAGTATTATATTTTGATAACACTGATTATATTTTGTTATATAGTTGTGTAACCACTACTACAATCAAAATATAATACAGTTTGAACACCCCAAAGAACTTCTCTGTGCCCAGTGTAGTCAAGTTTTTCCCAGTCCCCTGCTCCGAACAACCACTGATCTGTTTTCTGTATCTACAGTTTTGCCTTTTCTAGACTGTCAAATAAATGGAATAGTATAAAATGCAGCCTTTTGAACCTGGCTTCCTTTACTTAACAGAATGTTTTCAGGTTTATTCATGTTGTGTGTATCTGTAATGCATTTCTTTTTATTCCTGAGTAGTGTTCCACTGTATGGATTTATTACGTATTATTTATTCATTTATTCACCAGTTGTGACAGGCACTCTCATCAGCTCCCAAAAATGTCCATGTTCTAATCCCTGAAACCTGTGAATGTATTACCTTACATGGCAAAAGGGACTTTGCAGATGTGATAAAGGTTATAGACCTTAAGATGGGAAGGTAATCCTGGATTATCCTGGTGGGCTGAATATAGTCACCTAAGTTGGGGGATGATAGCATCAGAAGTCACTGGTGCCCTGTTGCTGGTTCTGTTGTAAGGAACCACATGTGAGAATCAGAAAGAGGCCTGTAGGACCTAAAGCTGGCACTGAGCTGACAGCTAGCAAGGAAAGAGACCTCAGTTTTCCATCCCCATGAAACCAGATTTTGCCAACACCTGAGCAAGAAGAAACACATTTTCCCTTAGAGCCTCCAGAAAGGAATGCAGGCAGGCTGACAGCTCGATTTTACCTAGTGAGTCCCCTACTAGACACCTATCTACTAGATATTCAAAATAATATCTGCGCAGTTTTAAGCCAGTAAGATTGTGAACATTTCTTACATCAGTAACAGAGAACTAACATACCAGTTGAAGGACATCTGGGCTGTTTACAGTTGTTGGTAATTGTGAAAAAAGTCACTGTAAAATGTAGAGTATAGGTTTTTGTATGAATCTGAGCTTTCATTTCCCATGAGTGGAATTGCTAGGCTGTATGACACGTACATTTACTTTATTAGAAATTGCACCACTGTTCGCCAAAATGAGTGACTTCATCATTTTGCATTTTTATAATTAATGTATTCGAGTTCCAGTTGTTCTGAATCCTCACCAGCATTTGATATTGGCAGAGAATCTTTCATCTGTTTGTTTGTTTGTCCAAATCGGATGAATATGTAGTGGCATCTCACTGTGGTTTTATTTGCATTTCCATAATAATTAATGATTTTGACTTGGAGAAGTGTCTGTTCGCATTTTTTTTTTTGCCAAATTTCAATTGGGTTATTTTCTCATTATTGAATTTTGTATATTCATATATTCTGGCATATTTATTTCCTAGTGCTGTGTATATTGCCACTAACTTGGCGGCTTAAAATAACACTCATTTATTATCACGTGATGTGTATGTCAGATGTCCAGCCATGGCATAACTGGGTTCTCTGCACACGGTTTTAGAAGACGAATTCAAGGTGTCAGCTGGTTGCATTTTTATCTGGTCTCATCTGGATCTCAGGGTCCTTTTCTAAGCTCATTCAAGTAGTTAGCAGAATTCAGTTTCTTGCTCCTGTAGGCAGGACTGAGGTCACTGATTTCTTGCTGGCTGTCAGCCAGGGGCTGTTCTCTGTTTCTAGAGACCACCCTGAGGCCTAGTCAAGTGGCCCTCTCACACCATGGCTGCTTATTTCTTTAAAGCTAGAAGGAGAATCTTGCCAATCTCTATGATAGATACTTAGCAATGAAGTGACTATCGATCACATTTCTCATAGAATGTCATCTAATCAAGGGAATAACTATCCCATCATGCTAGAATGTTCTGCCAACACTCAAGGAAAAAGGATTATAAAGGGTTTATAAAATAGAGTGTGAAAACCTTGGGCACCATCCTAGCATTCTGCTTACCACATCTGGATACAAGTCCATGGTCAGACATGTGTTTCAGAAACGTTTTCTTACAGTCTTTTACTTTTCTTTCTTGTCAAAGGGGGTAAAAAAAAAAAAAAAAAAAACCTTCTGAAGAATGTAAATTTAATTTTGGAAAAATCCAGTTTTTCCCTTTTTTTTTCTTTTATGTATTGTTTTTTAAAAATATTTTTTGCCGTACCTAAGAAATCTTTGCCCAATCCAAGGGCACAAAGAGTTTCTCCTGTTTTTTTCTCCTGGAAGCTTTATACTTTTAGGTATTACATTTGAACACTTATCTATTTTGAATTAACTTTTGCATATAATGCATAAGTATGGGTCAAAGTCTTTTTTGCATATGGATATACAATCGTTCTAGCACCATTTGTCAAAAACACCATCCTTTCTCCATTGAGTTGCCCTTGTACCTTTGTCAAATATCACTTTTTAATATATGTACGAGTCTATTTTTGGAAAATTCCTAAATAGTTTATATTTTTAAAAACACAATTTTAAATATTCTACAGGTTAAAAGGAAATAGCAGGAAAATTATAAAATATTTAGAATTGAATAAAAATAAAGACAAGAGTTCCATGATTCAGCTAAAGCAGGGAAAATGTAGATCACTGATTTTATAGTAGAAAAGAAGATTTCAAGACGTTTCTTAAGAAATGGAAAAATACAAAAATGTTCTCCCATTCTGTAGGTTGCCTGTTCACTCTGAGGGTAGTTTCTTTTGCTGTGCAGAAACTCTTTAGTTTAATTAGATCCCATTTGTCAATTTTGGCTTTTGTTGCCATTGCTTTTGGTGTTTTAGACATGACGTCCTTGCCCATGCCTATGTCCTGAATGGTATTGCCTAGGTTTTCTTCTAGGGTTTTTATGGTTTTAGGTCTAATTTTTGCAATCTACTCATCTGACAAAGGGCTAATATCCAGAATCTACAATGAACTCAAACAAATTTACAAGAAAAAAACAAACAATCCCATCAACAAGTGGGCGAAGGATATGAACAGACACTACTCAAAAGAAGACATTTATGCAGCCAAAAGACACATGAAAAAATGCTCATCATCACTGGTCATCAGAGAAATGCAAATCAAAACCACAATGAGACACCATCTCACACCAGTTGGAATGGTGATCATTAACAAGTCAGGAAACAACAGGTGCTGGAGAGGATGTGGAGAAATAGGAACACTTTTACACTGTTGGTGGGACTGTAAACTAGTTCAACCATTGTGGAAGTCAGTGTGGCGATTCCTCAGGGATCTAGAACTAGAAATACCACTTGACTCAGCCATCCCACTACTGGGTATATACCCAAAGGATTATAAATCACGCTGTTATAAAGGAACATACACATGTATGTTTACTGCGGCACTATTCACAATAGCAAAGACTTGGACCCAACCCACATGTCCAACAATGATAGACTGGATTAAGAAAATGTGGCACATATATACCATGGAATACTATGCAGCCATAAAAAAGGATGAGTTCATGTCCTTTGTAGGGACATGGATGAAGCTGGAAACCATCATTCTCAGCAAACTATCACAAGGACAAAAAACCAAACACCGCATGTTCTCACTCACAGGTGGGAATTGAACAAAGAGAACCCACCTATGAGTGGGAATTGAACAATGAGAACACATGGACACAGGAAGGGGAACATCACAGGATGGGGGAATGGGGGAGGGATAGTATTAGGAGATATACCTAATGTTAAATGACGAGTTAATGGGTGCAGCACACCAACATGGCACGTGTATACATATGTAACAAACCTGCAGGTTGTGCACATGTACCCTAAAACTTAACGTATAATAATAAAAAAATAAAATAATACAAAAGAAGATCATTTCTCAAACTGCCAAAAAAAAAAAAGAAATGGAAAAATACAAGTAAATTAGACTACAAGCAAGGAAGGAAAAAATTGACAGCAAAATTAAATGCAATTGAAAACAAGAAAACCATAAAGAAAATCAGTGAAATTGAAAGTTTACCAATTTTATTGACCTTTCCAAAGAACCAGGTTTCAACGTGATTGACTAAGAAAAAAAGAGAGAAGACATACATTATCAACATCAGAAATGAAAGACAGGCACTAGTATAGAAGCTACAGGCGTTAGATAGATGATAACGGACTGTTACAAATAATTTCATGTCTATACATTGAACAACTTGAATAAAATAGCAAAATTCCTTGAAAGCACAAACCCCCAAGCTCACTCACTAAGTAAATAATCAGAATTGTTCTATAACTTCAAATAAGTGAATTTGTGGTTAAAAAACAACACCTCCAAAAAAGGAAACTCCAGGCTCAGACGGCTTCACTGAAAACTTCTACCAAACACTTAAGGAAGAACAAAATGCCAATCCTACACTTTTTTTTTTCTAGAAAATACGTAGAGTAAGGGAGACTTCCCCACTCATTTTATAAGATTAAGATTACCCTGAATCCAAAACAAATAAGAACACCATAAAAAAAGAAAATGAGAGATAAATAACCCTCATAAAATAGAGGCAAAATTCTAAACATTTTAGTAGATCAAAGCCTGCAATATATAAAAAGGATAATGTATCATGACCAAATAGGATTTATCCCAAGAATGCTAGGTTAGTTCATTATTTAAAAATCAATCAATATAAATTACCATATGAAGAAAATTATGATAAAAACCTTATAATACTTTTAACAGGTATACAAAAAGCATTTGACATGAGTCAAAATCCTTTAATAATATAAATCCCTTAGCAACCTAGGAATAGAAAGAAACTTTCTCTGTCCAATAAAAAACATCTACCAAAGACTACTTTCTCTCTGAAATTAATATCTACTCTCGCCTCCCCTACTGAACAACTTACAGGGGGTCCTAGCTAGTGCAACCGGAGAATAAGTTTCAAAAAGTAGTAAACATGCAGATTCCATAGTAAGTAATAAAACTCTGTCTATTTGCAAATGACCTGATTATCTATATAGAAAGATCCCAAAGAATTTTCAAAAATCCACTATAACTGGGAAATGGAATGTTGCAGTGTGCAAAGTGAATGTATAAATATCCGCAGTACTTATATATTTTAGCAATAAACAACTGGAAATTGAATTCAAAAAGTACTATTTAAATTAGCACTAATAAACATGAAATTCTTTGGTATAAATCTAGCAAAATACATATAGAAATGTATCCTGATAACTACATAACCCTGAAAAAGATAATAGATAATAAGGAATACATAAATAAATGATAAGCTACATCATGTTCATAGATTAGAAGTCTGAATATTGTTAATATGCACTTTGAGTTCTGGTTTTAGATAAATACACATTTAGAATTATGTCTTCTTGGTTAATGGACTCCTTTATCATTCGGTAATATCTCTTTTTATATCAGGTATATTATTTTTTGCTCTGAAGTGTGTTTTGCCTGATTCTAATATAGCCATTCCATCCAGTTTTCAGTTAGTGTTAGCACAGCATACTTCTCTTCATTTTTTTCATTTAACCTGCCTACGTTTTCATATTTAAGATGAGTTTCTTGAAGCAGTGTACAGATGAGTCTTGCTCTTGTTTTATCCTACCTGTAAATTTCTATATTTTAATCGGATGTTTAGGCCATTCGCATTTGTGAAATAAACATAAAGCCCCTCAGCCCCCAGGCAAAATGAAACAGACTCCTTATGGCAAAGGAGACCCCAGAAAACTTTAAAAACTAGATTCGACAGCTTCAACAAGGCAAGAGGTCAGTCACGTCTCAATATTCTCCCAACTCACTAACCATCTCAAGATCTCTTTCCTATAATTAAACAGAAACCAGTTTGTGAAAAACAAGTGCAGTTTTCTCCCTTAATCTAGGCAAACCATTTGACATGCTGGCCAAGTGGCCCACCTTTATCACGGTTTCGCCATGAAATTTGACCAGTCTTACAAAGCACTCTTTCCTGATAAATGACCACCAACCACAAACTCATTTTGGCTGGTTTACAGACATACACAAAGTGCTTTTGTGACCTGTTTTTCACCTTTTGATATATAGAGCCTAATTTTACTACATTTTAATGTTAAGTCTTCATTCCTAAATGAACATGGGTCATATGCAATATGTATGTTTGCTCACCGCACATGCACTTGACTCCCTCCATGCATATTCATAGCTCCTCCTAGAGCCCACAATATGTGTGTTTGGCTGATCATGTCAAGCATAAATTCCTACCCTCCCATTTTTCCTTGGAGCACCTGCTTTCCGTTTTGGCCAGATGCTCTGGTTTCTTTACCTGCAGGTTGTAACTTTTTATAAGAAATAATGCCCATGTTTTCTGCTTTTATAGATCTTATGGTTTTAATTTGACACATTTAGTGTTACAATTGATGTGGCTGAATAAAAATTACCAAATTGATAGGTTTTCTATAGTTTTTCCATGTGTTCTATGTTCTTTTTTTCTCCTTCTCTGCCTTCTTTTGAAATAAATGTTTGTTTTCTATTTTTATATTATTCTATTTAATCTCCAATATTGGCTTATTTTTCAGACTTCCTTTTTTTTTTTTTTTCTTTTTTTTTTTGAGACGGAGTCTTGCTCTGTCGCCCAGGCTGGAGTGCAGTGGTGCAATCTCAGCTCACTGCAATCTCCGCCTCCTGGGTTCACACCATTCTCCTGCCTCAGCCTCCCGAGTAGCTGGGACTACAGGCACCCACCACCATGCCCGGCTAATTTTTTAATATTTTTAGTAGAGACGAGGTTTCACCATGTTAGCCAGGATGGTCTCGATCTCCTCACCTCGTGATCTGCCTGCCTTGGCTTCCCAAAGTGCTGGGATTACAGACGTGAGCCACCACACCCGGCCCAGACTTTCTTTAAAATATTTTTTAGTTGTTGTCATTAAGTTTACAATATATATTATCAAATAATTACAGTAATTTTAAACAATATTATATCACTTCACATAATTATAAGCCTGACAACCACATGCTCCTAACGATTCCCTCTTTTCTTTCTGTGCTGTTGTTATCATGTATTTTACTTTTGAATATGCAGTAAACCCCAAATATACTCTATTTTTACTTTTAAGACAGTCAATTCCCTTCTAAAACAATTACTAAGAACAAAATGTATTTTGTACTTACTTTCTTTTTAGCTGTTTCTGAAGAACTTTCTTTCTTTTTGTGGATCCAAGTTCCTGTGTATTATCATATTCTTCCACTCAAGTAATTTTTTAAAATATTTCTTCTAGTGTCAGTCTGTTGATCAAAAAGTATATCCTTTTTTAAAAAAATTGTTTTAATTTCTGAAGTATACTTTCACTGGATGTAAAATTCTGTGTTGGTTTTTTTCTTTTCCCATCCCTTTGAAGATATCACTCCATCGTCTTCTGGCATGCACAGTTTCTAATGAGAAATCTGTTATATTTTTACTCCTTTGTTTTATATATATATATATATATATATATATATGAACAAAGTCATATTACATATATATGAACAAAGTCATATTATGTATATGAACAGTCATATTACATATATATATATATATATATATATATATATATGCCTTTTTTGCCGAACTGCATGAAAAAAATTGCCCTTTCTCTTTGACTTTCTGTGGTTTGAATACAATGTATGTAGATGTCTGTGTGGGAGTGTTGGGGTTCGTGTGTGTATGGGAGTGAGAGAATGTTTTCATTTTATTCCACTTGGTGTTCCCTGAGCTTTCTTGATGTATGATTTTATGTCTTTTGCTATTTTTGGAAAATTATCAGTCATTATCTCTTTAAATAATTCATAAGTTTCATTATCTTTTTATTTCCTTCTAGGATTCAAATTACACAAATGTTAGCTCCTTGGATGTTATTCTACAGTACTTACATGCTTTGTTCTGTTTTTATTTTTCCCAGTATCTTTTATCATTGTGTTTCAGTCTGGGTAATTTCTATTGACCTATTCACTAATTTTTATGTCCCTTATGTTTGTTGAGTCTGCCAATGAATTATTCAATGACATGCTTCATTTCTGTTTCTGTATTTTAATTCTAGCCCTTGAATTTGAGCATTTTTAAGTGTTTTTCATCTCTCTTCTGAAATTCCCCATGTGTTCATGCATGCGTTACACTTTTTCCACAAGATTCTTTAGCATATTAATTATAGTAATTTTTAATTCTCCATCTCATAGTTCCAATATCTGCTTCATATATGAGTCTTTTTTTGCCTCTTGGCAATGGGGTGAGGTTTTTTCTCATTTTTTAATGTGCTATATATTTTTAGTAGAAGTCAAATGTACAGGACAGTAGAGACTGGGTAAATAGCATTTATGCCTGAACATGTGACCGGCTGTTCTGCTTGGTCATTAGTGAAGATATTTGTGTCTTCTAGGCCTAAACTACAAGGTATGCTTTCTAGGGTCTCTTGCTGTACCATCTGTATTTTTCATCTAAGTTCTTGTGAACTCCATTTGTGTCTAAGTCCCCAGGGGCCTTACATTATCCCACTCTCAAATTTTAACAATTCACTAAATATGTTAGTGAAATTTTCTCCTTCTCACTTAAATGGAGGGTCTGTCTTCCTCCCCTCCTTTGCATAGGTTAGTTCCATCTCCTGCTGGAAGTGCCTGCCTTTCCTTAGATTTCAGGTTAGTGGCTTTCTTGGCAACCTCACCTGTTTGAGGTTGATACATTTAATAATTTTTACATTTCCTGAATTTTCCCTGTTATTATTATGAGAATGATATTCTTTCCAACTTTCTGTGTTCTAAGTAGAAGCTGGAAGTCCAGGATTTTTTTATGACAGTAAAAACATGTATGTCTGTATACACACATACATATACACACATCAAACCAATCAAGAAAGAAGTGAGAACTTTAGTTATAACAAATGAATTCAGCTTCAATGTTTCCAGAAATTGTCCTGTGTCCAAGACAAAGAACTACAAGAAAGACTCAGAATTTATTCCTGCTTTTAAAGAGATTATAATCTTCAGGGAAGGAATAAGGAAATAAGTAAGAAGAGTCAGTGTCAAATTCTTTCTGCTATTCCCCTATTCAGCTTTGCATAGTAAAGATAACATGAATCTCTTCTGTGAAAGACTGTGGCTCCGGGCCTGACCTGATGGCAACTCAGTCAGCCACCTCTCAGGCAGTTAGGAACTTGTGGGGAACCTAGAACTGCCACCTAGATGCAAGTGTCTTATCTTAATATAATAAACTTCTATAAGAAGAACAGACTATACAAAACCTTACAGAGCAAACTAAAAGACTTTAGAATTAAATCCGGCTTAAAAATAATGCTGAAACGATTTGATTCTCATTGATCTTCTTTGATGACTATTGAAATATATTTTCAGTAATTAATTTCTACTTTTCTTTGATCCTACCGAAGTGGGAAAAAGATTAAAAATGGAGGTATAAGTAGATAGGAACAAAGAAAACATTGGGATCACAAGAGTCCAAGTGATAGTTGACATTCAAATATACATAAACAGTTTTAGTGATAGTTGACATTCAAATATATATAAAGAGTTTTAAAATTCTCTGCAAAACCAATCTTAATCTTGGGTTATATAACATGATATAAGGACAAACTTGGCTTTTGAAGCAGAGAACAGAAGAGAATAGAATCAGCCAGCTGTTCGGATCAACTGCTGAAGTCCCACGGCAGTTTTACTTAATGCCACCCTATCACAGGCTTTAGTACAATTTAAGATCAAATTCACAGTTAGCCTGACAAATATATTTGCCCAAGACCTTCTCCATTATAATTCCATTAATATCTCTGGGCTCAGAGCCAGCCAGAAACATCTGGTAGGGATTATGTTTTTGCAGAGATAAACTTGCAGATGTTCACAATTATTTTTAAGAAAATTTATCTATAAAATATTATAATAACCAAATGAAAAAAATAGCAAAACTGTGATGGAGAATGATATAGAAGTATTTTGGGAAATTGGATTTTTAAAATATTTAAATGTACAAAAAGCAATATATTACATAGTAAAAAAAAAAATCCATATGGAAGAATAAAAAAATTTGAAATATTTTACCCCATTTTCTTGCACTTCTAGTCCCACTCCCCATTTAATTTCCCTTAGAACTGTTTGTATCTTTTAATAATCTTCACAATTTCAAAGTATATACTCAGCTTCTTAAGCTATAAGCCTTGTTTAAATATTGGCTCCCTGTTTAAATTATAAAAATGTTAGTTTATTTAATCTTGTCCCTCCTCTATCGAATGTTCGACTTTATGCTATTAATTTAAATCTTCCAGTTATTAACTCACAGTTTTAAAAAAATATGTATACCTGCTTTTCTTTATCCATCCTCTCCTTCACTATCCTTCACCACTGCAGAAAACGAGGTGATGAATGCCCTGTTCTTTCTCCAGTACTAGTCTCACTGACTGTTGTTAGCTCTAATATTATTTTCACATTCTTAAGTTTGTAATATTTAAATTCTGCTGCATAACCACTATTAAGACATTCAATCATTATCTATAGGAGGATAATAAAATTGAAAACAAAGCAAAGTAATTTAAAATACTATAATGTTTTTCAGCATTACGCATCATACATTCAGCAATGTGATTGATTCCTAGAGAAGAAAATGTAAGGCTATTTCTAAATTCTTGCCACTTGGAGAAGAGTATTTTAGGCTTCAAGATCAAGTAGATTCTCTTTTTTCTTCATGACACAATTCTGTTTCTTCTATATTTAAATTATGATTTTCATGTATAGTATACTGAGACAATATTTAAATATATTATTCTATATGTTGTTACTTATGATTATTTAAATTGTCTATTGATCTCTGTTTATTGAGCCTGAGATTTCTATTGCATCAGAGGGTGGGATAAGCTCAGCTGAGAATAAAAGGGTTAGTGTTTTATTTACATATATGTAAATACATATATACATATTTTACTTCAAATATAGGCTCTTAAGCTTATTTCAAGAGAAACAGTTTGCTGTGAGACTTTTCATACACAAGATCCTTGTTTTGCTGAGAGTAGATAAAACTCATTAGTGAATGGGATAGAAGAGGTAGCTCCAAAACAGGGCCTATTGGCTCAATGCAGACTCAAGAATCCACATTCTTGCACAACACAGTGGAAGACCCAGGAATGTTGAAAGAGGCAAAAGACTGAAAAGTGCATGACAATGGGAATGGGAGGGTAAAGAGGATAGACAACTGGCTGAGGGCAGTGGCACATGCCTGTAATCCCAGTACTTTGGGAGGCCAATGCTGGCATATCGCCTGAGGTCAGGAGTTCGAGACCAGCCTGGCCAACAGGGCAAAACCCCATCTGTGCAAAAATACAAAAATTAGGCAAGCATGGTGGCCCGCTCCTGTTTTCCCAGCTACTCGGGAGCCTGAGGCAGGATAATTGCTTGAACACAGGAGGCAGAGATTGCAGTGAGCCCAGGTCTCGCCACTGTACTCCAACCTGGGCGACAAATCAATACTCTGTCTCAAAAAAAAAAAAAAACAACAACAAAAAAAAACGAGTATAGACAACATACGCAGAAACCATAGTAGGCAACAGGCACCAGCAGCATGTTGTGGCACATACTCAAGTGCAAATTTTACAAGTTGTATCAGCAATAACAGAGGCTATCATTCAAAGACCAAGTAGATGATATCCCAGTGGAAGCCATCAATAATGCACTGGATATCCAGTGGAGCTGGGACAGACTCTCCCTCTTTGCTACATCCCAGTACAAGCAGACATCATTTGAGGGATTAGAGATACAAATGTAAACCAAAAAAAGTGTCTGAGACAGGTCTCAATCAATTTAGAGGCTTATTTTGCAAAGGTTGAGGATGTGGCTGGGAAAAAAAAGACACAAGCCACAGGAGGATCTGTGGCCTACACTTTTTCCCAAGAAAGTTTTGAGGGCTTCAACATTTAAAGGGGAAAAAGCAGGTAGGAAGGGAAGGAGGAAAAAAGAAGATGGAGTGTAGGACAAAAGAGACAGTAATGTTCTTTTGAGGTTTTGATGAGTGCTCACTGAATCCACACATTGCATGAGAAAAGGAGTGGGAAGAGGAATAGCCGACTATGTCTAATATCTCAGGCTCGGTGAATCTGCATTTTACATAAGATAAAGTGATCATATAGCAGAGAAAGGCGGGATGATTTCCAGTCTCCTCTTGTCCCACACCAGGAATATAAACTATTAACTTATGTTGTCAGAGTAAAGGAGGCTACCTGGGGAGATATGTGGCCTTCTATCTTGTAGTTACTTGTTTAGGAGCAAAAAGAAAGACAGGATTTTTTGTTTTGGTTTGATTTTTTTGTTGTTTGTTTGTTTGTTTGTTTTTGTATAACTCAGTTTCCAAGTTCCCTTAACTTTTCCTTTGGCATAGTGAGTTTGGGGTCTCAAGAGTTTATTTTCCTTCCACACAACCATGTTTCATTTTGCTTTTTAAAAAGTTGCATAAGGCAGCAAATTTTCTAAGGTTATTTTACCTAACACTTAATTGATTATTTTGTAAGGTATATAGAATTTTACATTCAAAGTCTAACAGCATCAGAAAAATTAACAGCATAATTCATACTCTCTGGAATGTATCACCCAAAATATCTGGCATATGATTTAAAAATTACTACCCATGCCAAGAAGCATTTGATGAAAACAAACTCAGATTTTCAATTTCAGTCCAACATGTAAAGAACTCGGAAGCCATCACTCCTATTGTCACAAGGAAAAAATCTGAATAAGCTGAAAATCAACTCTTCTTAGATCAATCAGAAAAATTAGGTCATAGAACAAACTTGTGCCCTGAAAACTAAAGATAGGTGGATACTGTAGGAGAGGGAAGATTTTCCCTCTACCATCTGAAGGTTTGATAGTTAAGTCTATGAAATAAACTGATGGTAGGCAGATTAACAGGAGAAAAGTACAGAAATTTATAATTTGCACGGTAGCATCACATGGAAGAAAAGTGAGTACTCCAAAACCCAGTGAGAGCTAGAAACTTTTAGATACCCTCTTCATAGGGGAGAGAGAAGGGAGGATGTAGGCAACTAGGGAAGAGTAAGTGACTTTGGGGGAAGATGAGTGAGCCCTCAGAAAAAAGGGTGATAGCCTGTGACAAATTCTGTCTGGGTGTGGTGTCAGACCCAGGGAAAGGGAAGTACCCTAGGTCAAATGACCACCCTGCCCAACCCCACTTTCACCCCCAAGCCTTCCCATTTCTCCTAAGGAGGTAGAAATAGCTGAGAAGGAGTTGTGACGTCTATAGACCAGAGACATGAAAAGACATGGATGTTAAAAACATATTACTAAATGAAAAAGACCAGTCTGAAAGGCTGGATAATACATGATTTCAACTATATGACATTTTGGAGAAGTCAAAACTATGGAGACAATAAAAAGGTCAGTAGTTGCTGGTCAGTAGTTGCCAGGGATTCAGGAGGAGGGAAGGAGGAATGAAGAACAGGTGGAGCACAGGGCATTTTTAGGGCTGTGAAACTATTCTGTATGGTATTGTAATGATGGATACAAGACGTTGTGCATTTGTCAAAACCCATAGAAGTATAATAAAGAATGAACTCTAATGTAAACTATTAACTTCAGTTAATAACAATATATCAGTATTGGTTCATTAATTATATTAAGTGTACCACACTAATGCAAGATGTTAATATGGGAAACTGTGCAGGGGTGGAGAGAGATAGGAGGTATAGGGGACTTTCTGATCAATTTCTCTGTAAACCCTGAATCACTCTTAATAAAAAAAAAATCTAAAAAACTGAGATAACATGATGTTGGAATGAGGGCTGGTATATTTTGGTTCATCATTAGTCCTGTGGCAGCTTTGGTCTTGGAGGATGGGGTTCTTACTTCTATGGCATAGTTTTTCTGGGGTTTCAAGAAATGCTGAAACTAAAAAGAAAGAGAAAGAGTTCCAAGTGAAAAGTAGGCACATGAAGCCTGGTGTGGCTTTATTAATATCAGACAAAGCAGACCTCAAATCAAGGAGTATTTCTAGGCATAAAGAATAATATTTTATAGTGAAAATAGAAAGAACAAATATAATTGCATATGAAAACACTGAGCTAAGAGTATAAGAAATCAAATTGACAGAAATAAAATATGAAGTAGACACATATACAATCAGAAGTGGACAACTTAATAAATCTGAGTAATTAACAAAATGAGTAGACAAATAAACTAAGTGAATATAGAAGATTTAAACAGCATTATAACAGGACTTGATGTAATGACATTTTTGATAGCACCATGTACAAAAAAACTGTGGAATATACTTTCATGTGCACACCAAAATAGACCATATTCTAGATCATAAAGTATTACACATTTCAAAAATTAAAATCTTACTAAGTGTATTATCTGAATACATCATTAAATGAGACATTTATAAAAATAAGATACCTTAAAAACTCCAAATATTTGGAAATTAAATAACACACTTTTAAATAACCCATGAATTACAGAATCAGGGAAACCACAGTGGAAATACACAATATTTTGGACTAAGTGACACAAAAATAAAAATATCAAAATTTGTGTAATGCCAGATGTCATGGGAAATTTATTAATTAAATGCTCATATTAGAAAAGACAAAATATTTATAAATAATTCTTTAATTTCCAATCATAAGAAGCTAGAGAAAGAGCAATTTAAACCTAAGGAAAGGAGGACAGAATTAAAGGAAGCAGTAATCAATAAAATTGAAAATATAAAAACAGTATATATGTATATAACATACAAAGGTAAAGTTTGTTTTTGTGAAAAGGTTGATAAAACATTAATTAAAAATTAATAAAATTGATAAATTGATTGGAATTAATGAAAGTGAAAAATACAAGTTATCACTAGCAAGAAAGAAAGAGTGCATCATTGTAACCACTGCAGAACTTAAAAAATAATAAGGGATTGTTATGAATAATCTTATGCCCAATAACAAATCATAAATAAATTTGATACCTTATATAAAATAGATAAACTAACAAATAAATAACTTAGAAGAAATGGAAAACATGAATAAGATTACATTTATTAAAAAGTTTGAATTTGTAATAAAAACTTCTCCATGGTTAAACCCTATTGAATATTTAAGGAAGAAATAATATCAACTGTATTGAAACTAGAGGAGGGAAAGATTGTTAACTCATTTTCTGAAGACAGCATAATTCTGAAACCAATAGAGTATTGTAGCAAAAACAGTAAAATAAAATTACAATCAAATACACTTCAAGAACATACATTCAAAAATCCTTAAACAAATTTTTCTGAATAGAATCCAGCAATGTATAAAAATGATAATACTTTATGATCAATGGGATTTATCCCACGGATGAAGAGTTGGTTTACGTTTAAAAGAACAGTGAATGCAAATCATCATATTTATAGAATACATTATTAAATCTATTTATAGAATAAGAAATATACATTTTAATAATGTAGAACTATCATTTAGCAATTTTCATCAGCTATGCATGATAAAAAAAAAAAGCAACTCTCTGCAAAATAAGAATAGAATGCAACATCATCACCCTGATTAAGTAAAATAAAAACAGCTTACAGGTAAATTCGTAATTAGTAGTGAAACTCTAAATACTCCCCTCTCACATTCAGGAACAAGACAAGAATGTCTGCTCTCTATTTCTTATTAGATGTCCTAGCCAGTGTTCTAAGTCAAGAAAAATACATAAAAATATAAAGACTAGAAAAGAAGTAGTAAACTCTTTATTAATAGAAAACATAGTATTTCTAAAAATAATTAAATAACTTTTAGTACCAATAAAGTTAGGAAAAAATAGAAACTTAAACTATATTTCTATAATTAAGCATCAAACAATTGGAGAATGAATTATTTTAAAAATCATTTTCAATAGCATCAAAAACGCTACATTGCTTAGAATAAAAATAACAAAAGATGTGCAAAACCTCTAAGTTAAAAACATGAACTATTGCTAAAAGAAACTGAAGAAAAACTTAGGTAACTTGAAGATATACCAACTTCACGAATTAGAAGACATTAAGATGCCTGTAAATTCAACACAATCCTAATCAAAATCTCAGTTGGCGTTTTTCTACAATTGTTTATAGTAGTCCTCCTCTTCTCTGCAGGGAATATGTTCCAAGACCCCCAGGGGATGCCTGAAACCGCAGATAGTACTGAACTCTACATACCCTGTGTTTTTTTCTATCACTTAGGTAACATAAAGTTTAATTTATGAACTGGGCATAGCGAGAGACTAATAACAATAATAATAAAATAGAACAATTCTAAATATATTGTAATAAAAGTTACATGAGTATGGTCCTTCAAAATATCTTATTGTACTGCACTTATCCTTTTTTTTCTTGTAATGATAAAGGGGCACAGAAAGATGGCATGAGATTTCATCACACTATTGGGAACAATGTACAATTTAACACTTATGATTCTTTGTTTTTTAATAATTTTAATTTTATTTTAAATACAAGGGGTACATGTGCAGGTTTGTTACATGGTTTTATTGTGTGATGGGTTTGGGGTACGGATACCATCACCCACGTGGTGAGCATAGTACCCAATAGGTAATTTTTCAATTCACAACCCCCTCCCTCCCACCCCTCTCTAGTAGTCTCCAATCTTTATTGTTCTCATCTTTATATTCATGTGTACTTAATGTTTAGCTCCCACATAGAAGTCAGACCATTTCCTATTCCTATGTTAATTTGCTTAGGATAACAGCCTCCAGCTGCATCCATGTTGTTGCAAAGGACATTATTTCATTCTTTTTAATGGCTAGGTAGTATTCCATGGGGTGTGTGTGTGTGTGTGTGTGTGTGTGTGTGTGTGTGTGTGTATGTATGTGTATATATATATATACATACACATATATATGTACACACATACACATACCACATTTTCTTTATCCAATTCACCACTGACGGGCACTTAGATTGATTCCATGTTTTAACTTTTGTGAATAGTATGGTGATGAACATATGAGTGCATGTGTATGTAGCCACACACCTATAACCATCTTATCTTTGACGAAGCTGACAAAAGCAAACAATGAGGAAAAGACTCCTTATTCAATAAATGGTGCTGGGATAATTGGCTATCCATATGCAGAATTAAACTGAACTTTATCTTTCATCATATGTAAAAATTAAAATTAACTGAAAATGAATTGAAGATTTAAATGTAAAACCTCAAACTAAGAATTGTTTATTATTGGGATTTTTCCATTTAATATTTTGGGACTGAGGTTGACTGTAGATAACTGAAACTGTGGAAAGTGAAACTGCAGATAAGGGAGATGCCTTATGTATTCTATAATTTCTACAGAAATGCAAAGCATTTATACAAGACATTACTACTTAAAATGAAGAATGAATTAAACGACTCGAACTCTGGTTTTAAATTTTCTGTAAAGTTACAGTATCAAAACAACATGATATAGGTAAAATGGTACACAAATAGATCAATGGAACAGAATAGAGTCTGTAGAGACCCATATATACATGATTAAATAACTTTTAGATAAAGATGCCAGGGCAATTTAATTGGAAAACGAATGTCTTTTCAAAAACTTCCACTACAACAACTTGATAACCACATGCAACAAAATCCCAGCTCTCTCTAACATTATGCAAAACAATTAATTTGAGATGATTAAAGACCTAAATGTAAAAGCTACTACTGAAATGCGTCCAGAAGAAAATGTAGGAGAATCTCTTCCCAACTTTGAGATGAGTAAACATTTACCAGATATTACATTAAGAAACTGGGAAAATTGAGTATTAGATAACAGTAAATTTGCCATCGTTAAAATTTAAGACGTTTTTTATACATCACAGGCCACTGTGATAATTGAATGTTATAATGGGCATGGAAATATTTTAAAGTATATAAACACTAAACACATTTATTTTTCTTCAATAGACAGTCTTCATACCCTTACACTCATATGTATTCTATTAGCAAACATTTATCTGTGCAGGCTATGTCCAAGCACTAAGCTAGGCTCTAAGAATAAAGAATTAAGCAAATCATGGTCTCTGCCCAGCTCAAGGAACTTGCCATCTACTAATTTACATTTACAATTCAATGTGAGAAGAGCTATTCCAAAAGTAAGTCTAGGATACTAGAGTCATTAATCGAAGCCTGTTCTAGGACTCAGAGAGTCACATCTAAATGGAGAACTAAAAGCTAGAGAGAAATTTACCAGTTGAAGAAATAAAGTGTGACTTTTGGGAGGTGGGAGAGTAGAGGGAGTTTGAAATGGAGAAGAGCTATTCCATCCAGAAAGAACAAAAACATATGCAAAGGTTCTGGGGAGAGAGAAAGATGGAGCATATGATTTGGAATGACTGAGCACAGAGCACAGTAAGGTGTGGCTGAAGACAAAGGTGAGAAATAAGCTGGATACAAAAGCAAGGATATGATTTTTGTAAATTATATTTAGGGCATTCAATTTTCATGCTAGCATCAATGGGAAGATAGTGAAGTCTTTGGTTTGTTTGCTGTTAGCAGGAAATAATGAGATGAACTAGAAATTCTCTAGTGATAATATGAAAAATAGATTGTGTTTGTTGCCAGGGGTGTGGTGGACTAAAACTAGAGTCAAAGAAGCCTGTAAAGAAACAGAAATGTACAGATGATAGGCATTCAACACTTAAACAAGGCAGCAGCAGGAGGTCTGGAGAGCAACGAGTAGAATGGGTTTGAAAGATACTTGACAGAATTTGCTTTCTAGATGTGGAGAGTGGGAAAGGGTAAAAAGTAAAGATGTCCTCCATCATTCTAGGTGTTACAAGTTGGAGAAACTGTCTCATCTTGTCCTTTGTTGCAGCATAGTCAAAAGGAAAAGTGGTGCAGGTGTCCATGGGTTTGAGCAAGAAGGAGGTCTTTGGTGGAGTAATGAAAAGATCTTCAGCATCGTGATGGGGCAAAAGATGAATTTCAGTAGTTTAAATAGTAAATAGGAAGAGAACAGGTCATACTGTTTTGGAAATTTCTAGTAACTGTGAAGAGAAGAAAAAAAGGCTGTATGTAACTAAGGGAAACAAGGAGTCAAGAGTAGAGATTTTTTTTTAAGATGAAAGATATTTACTTATGGTTAAATATATTGCAAGAAAGCCAGAAGACAGGGAGAGAAGAGTTACAGCAAAAGAGGAGAATAATTTACATAGTGATTTGTAAGGAATGTGCATATGCATGTGGGGAATGGGGAGCAGGGGGGTGGGGGGTGAAGAGAGAGAAAGGCAAGAGGTAGCTGAAACCCACATCACAGGTTAACCCTGAAGGAAGGACATCTTTTCCACTGTATCCAGAAAGCATGCTTGTATGTATGATGGACGACAGTTGAAAGAGTTCCTGCTTAGTACCCCTTTTTTTCTTATTTGTGTGTCTGTATGTGTGTGTCTAATAAGAAATGAGGCCATCTGCTAATAATCTTGGAAGAGAAATAATGTATGAAAAGTGGGCAATTTTAAAATAGACTGTGTTTAAAAAATGGGGAGGAGGCTAACTAGCAGCATATAAGTTTGCTGAGTTTCTAGTTCATGTTGGTTACCTGGAGTATATATAGCATGAAACTCCATAGATGCATCCTTTGGTTCAGCAATGTTCAGGAACCTAAGCTAATACAAAGAAGTTGGACCACTGGGCTGCTTCATAATAGTGATTTTTCTTTTTCCTTTTTTTTTGGACGAAGTTCCACTCTTGTTGTCCAGGCTGGAGTGCAGTGGCATGACCTCAGCTCTCTGCAACCTCCGCCTCCTGGGTTCAAGCCTCAGCATCAGCCACTGGAGTAGCTGGGATTACAGGCGCCTGGCACCACGCCCGGCTAATTTTTTGTATTTGTAGTAGAGACGGGGTTTCACCATGTTGGCCGGGCTGGTCTCGAACTCCTGCCTTCAGGTGATCCACCCTCCTCGGCCTCCCAAACTGCTGGGATTACAGGCGTGAGCCACCGCGCCCAGCCTGTAATAGTGATTTTTCAAGTCAATGTGGCAGAAAATAAGAAGAAAATCTGAGGCTGTTAGTAAGGGTGATTGAAATGAAAGACCCTTTTGCATAAGCTGGACACAGAAAGAAACGAAAAGAGGAGGCTGAGAGATAAAGTACATGAATGGGAGTTTTTCAGACTGAGGATCTCGACAAGAGTATAGAATTCAGTTAGTCAGTCATGGATAAGGCACCAGAAAAGGAAGAGAAGATTCTAGATAGAGAATAGCAGATTTAAATATAAGATCTTAAAGCTGAATGGTTCCTAGGTAAGGCAAAGCCTGAGAGTATGTAACTGAAGTTGGGTGGACAGAAAGTGCAACTGGGACCAATGAGGTCAAGGTTTGGAATGATTATCAGAGCAGACATAGGAATTACTCAGTATAATGGTTTGAGTGGAAATGGAGAGGAAGAGTCAAGTATGGTAGGAGGAAGAAAAGTGAGAAAAGCAAGAGGAACAATCCATCGAGGTTATTACAGGCAGACAGAACACCTATGCAAGGCCACAGACACCCAGAAGAAGGCAGCAAGTTTCAGACCCACAAGTGCTGCTGCCCGGAGCACAGGGAAGGGGAGAAGGGGAGCAAAGAGAGGGAGTCTGCAGAGACCTCGGACTTTCATTTTACATAATGGGACTTATGAAGGCATTTTCTCAACAGATAAACAGACAAATAGCTACATATTTACAAACATACTTGTCCAAACTTTGTGGACTTAAGTGGCAGGTTACATGACAGCAGAGATGTGAAAAGGCATTGTCATTACATCTGAATTGAAAAAGTCATCGAAAACTTAAATAGTGGTTATTAAAGCTTCCAAAAGGTGCTATATCCAGAAACATTCTAGAACTAGAAAGCTGATGAGAAGGTGACTTTAAAATGAATAAAGATGTTTGCAGCAGGAAATAAAAATAAAATAAAAGAGCTGCTGGTAGAGAGAGACAGAGTTGGTCCATAATTAATACGAACATCAATCTTTTTGAATGTCAGGATGAAAGCTTATTCTTGCTAAAATAATTTGATTCACTGTCTCTTAAAATAGCATACAAGGGGAGAGAAAGAAGCATGGCAAGGAAAAGGTTTGTGAAAACAATAGTGCCTAGTTTCTTCCCTAGATTCCTTTGGTGTGCAAAAGAGGGAAAGTTCTTTTATGTTAGATGCTGGGTCAGTCTGCTCCTGGCGCCACCCTCTGGGAAAAGCAGGCGCTGGTTTGAGCAGTTGAGATAGCCTCAGAGAACAGGAAGTTCCTTGATCAATGTATATTAGAAAGGAAGTCATGTTCCAGAGGTATTTCAGCCTAAAGTGCAATCTTTCCTCATCATGCAACCTAGAAGTGTCCCTGAAAAACGCTGACATTATGTTTCACATAACATCAGTATGACACATTGCATAATACAGCATTGCAATTAACTTTACTGAGGAGCTGCTATGGGGCAGGCATGTGCTTTATACATGTCACTTCCTTTAGTCGTTACATCCGCCCTATGTGGAAGACATAATCCCTATTTGGAAAGAGGAAAACAGATACTTGGAAAGGTTAAGTGTTAAATAATATATCTTGGAGGTAAGCTGCTGTCTCTGTGGCTGCGCACCCTATGATCTTTCCACCATGTCACACTGCCTTCCAAACAAGAGTCTCTTTGGTCAATGGTACTTCCTTAGAAAAGATTCAGAAAGGACATGACAAATTACATCCTGCTTCAGCTTACAGCAATGCTCTTTCCAGTTCAGTGGCTCTGCAGTGAACAGAGATCAGACCCACGACCTCAGGCTAGTAAACCAGAGCCCAGCAGCCCTTTACTACCATACCTGGAAACTAATCACCGTCAGAGAATACCCTAAAGCAGAGTGGTGATATTTGTCCTTTCCTGATGCTGGGTCTCAGTCCCACAGAGAGAGGGCCAGTGTGTCCTGGTGATAATCTTAATTCACACATTCATTCATCCAATGTGCATTTGGTGGGCACCATCTATGGGCTATGTGCTATGATGGGCATTCAGAATATACAGATCAATAAAGCAGCCTTTCTTCTCTCAGTGAACTCACAGATTAGTGAGGGCAAAATAATGAGAATCAATTATTACAAGGCAGTGTGGCAAGGGCAAAGGGAGCACTACACAACTATGGGAGTGGATAAAGGGAGAGATGCAGAGGTAGGTGAGTATGTCCCAGTGCTCTATGTGGATACTACAGACCACAGGGGCTCTTACATTCACTGTCTCCACAAACAGCTTGTGTTGGTGAAAGTGTTGCCACTTCAGAAATATCCATTTTTTCAGCTATAGGTCAATCCAGGAGCAAAGGAAAAATAAATCAATACTGAGGACTCACTTTTGTAAAGAGTCTAATGACTTTATAATAAAAGTGTTTCTACTATAAATTTGATGACAAGAAGACCAAAATATACTGGCTTGTTTACTGTTGGTTTCCAGAACTCAGTCTTCTTACAGATTTCTGAAGATACAGTATTTTTATCTGAAGACAAATGTTATCATTGAGGAGTTGCATTCGCTGTGAGCAACAGATACCAGGCAAGTAGAGGTAAAGTACCTTTCTGCTCGTTTTTCCTCATAAAAATACAAAGTCTGGGAGTAAACTGTAGTTAGAATTGGTTTCAGTTGGTTTGGATTGTTTCTCCTTGCTTTGTCCTTACAGTCCATGTTGAGGGAGCTATGGCTGTTCTGGATGTGACTTGTGCCCTGGGCTGGAAGAAAGGGAGAAGCAGAGGGAAGCGGGTACACACCCGCTGAGTTGGCCTTTCTCAGCTTTCCTGGAAGCTGCACCCAACAACTTTTGCTTCTGTCAAAAAGACAACAGCTGTGTAACTGCCCCATCTGTAAGGGATTTCCCCCATGGAGCGCTATTAATAAGAAAAAGGGGGAAGAATGACTCTAGAGTGCACAAATATTAGTCTCAGTCACAATTATCGACCTTTATTTTTAGAAAATGATGCTACTTTGGTGTTTTAGGAAAATGTTTATAAATTACTATGTGAATAAAGTTTAAGACAACAGGAAGAAAAACAAGTTAGTGTGTTCAGCTTCCCTACCAGTAACACAGAAATATTTCTTGCTCCAAAACCAGAGACCTGCAGACAAAAAGTCATGGTAGTGCTGATTTATTTGTACCAACTGATTCAATTTATGGGTTTGTATTCATTATTTTATCCTAGCCATTGCTTAAGAACCTTATGGTTATATGCTTAAGTACTGGTTCATAAACTATGTATCTTTCTTTTATAAAAATGCAAAATGTCAAAAGAAAGAGGCTTATTTTTTTTCTGCTTCCGGATATCGAGTTTTAGGGAGAAAGAAAATATAGCGTGAAGTAAAAATGCAATCTGATTTGAAGTTGGTATTCTTGGCCTAGCAATTCCAGCTAGCAAAGCAATTTACTGATTCAAAATAGTACTCTTCTTGAAGAGGAAGCTGGTGTGTATGTATTTTTATATACGCATATATACATGTGTATATATATTAAAAATATATGTATATGTTATGCATATATGTACGTATTTAACATCTCATTTAGTATCTCAAGCACATATTTTTTCTGAAACAGGTGCTTATATATTTTAGGTTTTAGTTGTTTGCTTTACTGCTGCCAAAGAACAAAAGCACTCCTTGGAGTGATTTCTCCCTTCCATCAGAAGGAGACCCCTCAATGTTTCATGTAGGAAAAACCTCCGAATACTTCTTCCCATTCCAAGTGATAAATTGGTTGACCAACTTTTTCCAGCTGAAAATACTTGATCGACTTAGTCTCTTTCTATTCTTTTAAGATCTCAGCAGTTCTAACACTTTGTAATTTCTGAGGCACTACTATATTTTGGAAAAATCTTACTGAACATGTTAACATTTAGTAAATAAAATGATTTCAGCTGAATAGCTATATTATCTATTTATATCCATTTATCTAGCTACACATAAATGATAAGACATTTGTTTATATCTATTATGAAACAGGACCTCTGCTGGCCACTGGGGCTTCAGATACAAACACATATCTGTGTGTCTTCAGTGTTGCCCATAATGGACAGAAGACTACAACATCATGCAGTAAGTTCCACGATCGAAGCACAGGGACTTGAAACTGTATTTCTGAAATATAAGTCGAGCAGGGAAGGTTGAGAGGTAATCACAATCAAACCCAGTATCTCTGTGGTACACTAGTAAGTAAATGCACAAATGTACTTTCTTTATTTATTTTTGAGACAGAGTTTCTCTCTGGTGCCCAGGCTGGAGTGCAATGGCGTGATCTCAGCTCACTGCAACCTCTGCCTCCTGGGTTCAAGCGATTCTCCTGCCTCAGCCTCCCGACTAGCTGGGAATACAGGCACACGCCACCATGCCCAGCTAATTTTTGTATTTTTATTAGAGACAGGGTTTCACCATGTTGGCAAGGCTGGTCTTGAACTCCTGACCTCAACTAATCAACCAGCCTCGGCCTCCCAAAGTGCTGGGATTACAGGCGTGAGCCACCGCACCTGGCCACTTTCTCTTTTTTGTAAGATTGTAATACTGCAGCGCAGCATTCACTCACGTGGATGATAATCATCATTTTTCCTAAACTAAGCACTCTTTGTTGTGCATTAGTGGAATATTTATGTGAGTTACACTCATACTCTTTGTAAAAGGCTTTGGATTCTTCTGAGGTCTTCAAAAAAATGTTAAAAAATTATGTTTTTCCCCTTTTTGGCACCAGGGACTAGTTTCGTGGAAGAAAATTTTTCCACAGACAGTGATGGAGGAGGGATGGTGGAGATGGTTTTGAGATGATTCAAGTGCATTACATTTATTGTGCACTTTATTTCTATTATTATTACACACTCACCATAATGTAGAATCAGTGGGAACCCTGAGCTTGTTTTCCTGCAACTAGACGATCCCATATGGGGGTGATGGGAGACAGTGACAGATCTTCATACACAACCTAGGAGCACACAACCTAGATCCCTTGCATGCGCAGTTCACAATAGGGTTTGCACTTCTAGGAGAATCTAATGCTGTGGCTGATCTGATAGGAGGCAGAGCTCAGCAGTAATGCCAGAGATGAGGAGCAGCTGTAAATACAGATGAAGCTTTGCTCCCTGGCCTGCCATTCACCTCCTGCAGTGCGGCCTGCTTCCTAACAGGCCTGGGATCAGTACTGGTCCATGGTCCCCGGTTGGGGACCCCTGCCTTAGACCACTTAGCTATCTAACACACTGGCAATTATGTGTCAACTCAAAACAAAATGTTTAAATGTTGTTTTGAAGAAATATTCTTAATAAATCAACTTAATCTGCTGGTTTTAGACAGCTGAAAGTTTAAAAATTATTTTAATTTTACATAAAATAAGTACAAATATTTTATTCTTCTGAACTTGAAAGTAACAAGATTCTTTATACAGTTGATACGTAGCATGTGCATGTGTAAGTGTATGAGTGAGTGTCTGAGTGTGTGTGAATGTGAGTGTGCATGCATGCATCTGTGATGTGATATAAAACCTATATTTATACCATATTTTTAAAAGAATTTTAAAAATTAACAGAAACAGCTCTTCCCACACTTCTGCACAGCAAAAGAAACTACCATCAGAGTGAACAGGCAACCTACAGAAGGAAGAACATTTTTGCAATCTACTCATCTGACAAAGGGCTAATATCCAAAATCTACAAAGAACTCAAACAAATTTACAAGAAAAAAACAACCCCATCAAAAAGTGGGCAAAGGATATGAACAGACACTGCTCAAAAGAAGACATTTATGCAGCCAAAAGACACATGAAAAAATGCTCATCATCACTAGCCATCAGAGAAATGCAAATCAAAACCACAATGAGATACCATCTCACACCAGTTAGAATGGTGATCATTAACAAGTCAGGAAACATCAGGTGCTGGAGAGGATGTGGAGAAATAGGAACACTTTTACACTCTTGGTGAGACTGTAAACTAGTTCAACCATTGTGAAAGACAGTGTGGCGATTCCTTAAGGATCTAGAACTAGAAATACCATTTGACCCAGCAAACCCATTACTGGGTATACACCCAAAGGATTATAAATCATACTGCTATAAAGACACATGCACACGTATGTTTATTGCGGCACTATGCACAATAGCAAAGACTTGGACCCAACCCAAATGTCCATCAATGGTAGACTGAATTAAGAAAATGTGGCACATATACACCATGGAATACTATGCAGCCATAAAAAAGAATGAGTTCATGTCCTTTGTAGGGACACGGATGAAGCCAGAAACCATCATTCTCAGCAAACTATCACAAGGACAAAAAACCAAACACCTCATGTTCTCACTCATAGGTGGGAACTGAACAATGAGAACACTTGGACACAGGAAGGGGATCATCACACACTGGGGCCTATCATGGGGTGGGGGGAGGGAGGAGGGATAGCATTAGGAGATATACCTAATGTAAATGATGAGTTAATGGGTGCAACACACCAGCATGGCACATGTATACATATGTAACAAACCTGCACATTGTGCACATGTACCCTAAAACTTAAAGTATAATTTAAAAAAATATGGTATAAATGAGTTGCAAAAGCTATTGATGTTTTTTATAACTCTTGTCTAGAAAAGAACTGACAGTTCCTCTTTATGAAGAGACCAAATTCTAGACGAATTTTCTAGTGTCCTTGCAGATGCTTCCGAGTTTTTTGACTATTTGATTAGTTTTCTATTTAAAGGGATGTAGTATCTGCAGTAGATCCAAGCACAGGTGAAGGGGATGGGGAGAAGCAAGTTGGAACTCATGATTTGGGCAGGGTGCTCATCAGTAAAAAAGAGGCCTTAACATTTACCTCATTAAGGTATTGTGAGAATTAAAAGACACAATGTATGTGAAGTGCTCATCCCAGTACATAGGAAGTGTCCTGTGATTAGGAGTTAACATTATTATTATCTAGCCATTAAAAAAACACCTTGTTACTCAGTTATTCTCAGTTATTAATTGAGTTGTTTAATTAAAATCAGTTGGGGCATAATCAAAGCACTGGCCTTTCAGTATGAAAAGGCAGAGACCACGCCGGGCGCCGTGGCTCACGCCTGTAATCCCAGAACTTTGGGAGGCCGAGGCAGGCGGATCACGAGGTCAGGATATCGAGACCATCTTGGCTAACACGGTGAAACCCCATCCCTACTAAAAATACAAAAAACTAGCCGGGCACGGTGGCGGGCGCCTGTAGTCCCAGCTACTCGGGAGGCTGAGGCAGGAGAATGGGGTGAACCCGGAAGGCGGAGCTTGCAGTGAACCGAGATAGCGCCACCTCAGTCTGGCCTGGAGGAAAGAGCGAGACTCTGTCTCAAAAAAAAGAAAAGGCAGAGACCATTTACATAGTCCCCATTTCTACAGTGTTATTTACTAACACATCTTAAAATGTCAAGTGATTTTTTTTCTTGCTCAGAATATATGTAATTCAGACAGTAAAAAAATTTCGATAAATAGAAATGTCAAAATATTAAATGATTTAAGACTAAATAAATTGGGCAATATTTTCAAAATATTCAATGTATTCCTTGATAAATACTTTTATTTTCTCCAATTGAAACATTTACAAAACTTTATTCCCTGTCAAACTGTCTGAAACACACTTTTGCTTTTCTTTGCAGTAAAATAAGAGAATATTCACAAATAAATCTAAAGAGAACAAAGCATGACCTAAATAAAGTACAAATTACTACTGGAAGTTATAAAAGAAGACTTGAACAAATGAACAAATGTACTATGTTCCTAAAAGAAAGTTAAATATCACAAGGGTATCAATTCTCCATAGTTAGTAAATCAAGCCCAACCAAAATATCAATAGTATTTTTCTTATTTGTTATTTTAAAAGTTGTAAAATTCATCTACAATATATATTTTGAAAGAAACGGGGAAGAAATCATCCCCAAATATATTAAGATATATTAAAAAGTTGAAATGATTGCATTATAGGACTAATCTGTAGATCCTGATGGAGAAGTATACATATTCTAGCAGAAGTTCATTTCCTCAAATAAAACTTTCTACGGAATTAGGATAGCATCATAAATCAGTGAGAGACAGATTTATCAAATTATTGTGGCTGAGTAACAATTGGGATGTAAATTAATTTTGCTTAATGTGAGACCATTTTCCAATATAAATTCTTAATAAATTGAAGAGTGAAAATTTTTTAAAATTATGGATATATCAGAAAAGATAACAAAAGAAAATAGTGGCTGGGCACAGTGGCTCACACCTGTAATCCCATCACTTTGAGAGACCAAAGCAGGTGGATCACCTGAGGTCAGGAGTTCAAGACCCGCCTGGACAACATGGTGAAACCCCATCTCTACTAAAAAAAAATATAGATAGATAGATAGATAGATAGATAGATAGATAGATAGATAGATACAAAAATTAGTCAGGCATGATGGCGCACACCTGAATCCCAGCTACTCAGGAGGCTGAGGCAGGAGAATCACTTGAACCCAGGAGGCAGAGGTTGCAGTGAGCCAAGATGTCACCACTGCACTCCAGCCTGGGTGAAAGAGCAAGACTTTACCACAAAAAAGGAAGTATACATTTTTTAAAAACTTTTAAAAGAAAAGGAAAATAGCAATTCATAATCCTGTCATAACGTGAACTCCATGTTGACTCTGTTTCCCCTCCAACCCTCCTCTCATTGCTGGACTGTATTCACTTATTCACAATATTTCTCCTACAAGTGAATTTGAGTCCTTCCTCCTTCTTATTTATATTCCTTTGTACATCTCCTAATGTATACCAAGTGTTCTCAGGGAAAATTCAGAAAAGGGAAAATAAAGAAAAGACAACTTTAATGGGTCAGGAACCATATCATTTTTGGTTCTTTTCTAGAACATGGCACAGTGCTTGTACCAATAGATTCTCAGTCATATTTGCTGAATACATGAATAATGGGATGAGAACAAGAATACCAGTGGCAAATCACTGGGGATTTGAAGAATCAAGAATCAGCAGAGGATACAGCTGAAAAAACATTGAGAATTCACTTGGTCGCATCTTCCAATTTGCAGACGGAGAAGCTGAAGTCCAGAATTAAAAGAAAATGACTTACTTGAGATCACACAGCTTGTAAATGGCAGAGAGCTAAATGAATGAGAGTTAATATATCCCTTTCATACTTTCTGTCTCTACTAGAATACCCAAAATAGAACTAAGGTTGTAATTACAGATCGAATCATTCAAAAAACACCACTTTCTCTTCATATTAAAAAAAATTATGTAGACATTTTATAAACTAAAGCAGAGAAGAGAGCTGAGGTAAATATATTCTATCTATAGACCAGAACAAAATGGGGCAGTTTTTTCTTAACTTTCTACCATTGTTCATTTTTAATATGAAAACCAAAGGCAATCTTTTTACCAAATGTCTAATTAGTTGTTAGCAGAGTAGGACAGGAGCTCAGCTCTCCTGGATTTATATCTAATGCTCTTTCCACCATATCCTCATACTAAGCAAAACATGTTTTATTAAAATACAGCAGGCCAGGCGCGGTGGCTCACACCTGTAATCCCAGCACTTTGGGAGGTCGAGGCGGGCAGATCACGAGGTCAGGAGATTGAGACCATCCTGGCCAAAATGGTGAAACCTCGTCTCTACTAAAAATACAAAAATTAGCTGGGCGTGGTGGAGAGCACCTATAGTCCCAGCTACTCAGGAGGCTGAGACAGGAGAATCGCTTGAACTGGGGAGGCAGAGGTTGCAGTGAGCTGAGGTCGCGCCACTGCACTCCAGCCTGGCAACAGAGAGACTTCGTCTCAAAAAAAAAAACAAAAAAACAAAACACACACACACACACACATAACAGTGCTAGGTGAAAAAAAGGACATAACTGTGTTATATTTTAAAAATAAGTGGAAAAAAACGTACTTAAGTAAACTTACTAAATTGAATACTTCAAAAAGATATGCAAAACATAACATTTACTCAATCAACTTTTAATTTACTCAGCATATATTTATTAATCACTTTCTATATCAAGGCACAATACGAAGTGCAAGAGATATAATAAACAGATGACAAGCTGTCCCTGACTTACGGAATTTTCTATTTAAGGACTAAGGATCAGCGATGAAATTGAGATTGCAAAATCTGCCACTCTGGGGATTCGGCCACTTTAGAGTTAAAATGTGACCACTCATCTGAGCTATTCTGGTTAATTAAAATCAACTTAGGAATTCAGATTTTAACAGAAATATGTCAAAACAATCTCTGAGAGGAACCATATTCATGTTATTAGCTTCTGGAGCTCATTTCTCATCTTTTAGTTAGAAAACTCTGCACCTTAACAACCACAAGTCCAAACCAGTCTTCCACCTCCAGAATAGTATCAGTCTCATTAAAATGTACACAAAGGTATCTCTAATGACTGTTGTCAAATAGAATAAATCTGAGTATAAAAATGAGATCTTCAGGGAAGATAAAGTAGAAAGGCCTGATCAATTTGTTTTTACAGTTTCCATAGACATGTAAGGCTGCCTCACTCATCAATCAGTCCAGATGTGTAACAGCAATTGCTAACATTCAGTCACTAAAATCAAGGCATATGTGGGAAAGACAGCTACCAGCAAAGGTGCACATTAGCTGTTCACATTGCAACATCGTTTAGCATCACAACAGCCTGTGAGCAAAAGGGGAGTTCAGAAGAAAGAATCACCAATTAACACACAAAGTCAAGAGGCGAAGTTATTATTTCAGTTCACTTGTCTCTATTGGTTCTTTGGACTGGGCATTTTGATCGTTTTCCTGATTACAAAAGCCATCTCTTATTAGAGCAAAGAGAAAGGAGGCCAGGTGCCTATTGTTTGTAATGACAGTGCCACACTTAGGTTGTGTGCTAGAAGCATATCTACGTGTGTCGCCGTGTCTCTGTGTGTAGGTGCATGTAAATGCATGATAGTACACATATACAAAGTGCTCAAAGCAAGTTCTGTGTGTTACCACAGTAACAGTTGGCTTCAATAACAGGAGCTCCTCAGACACACCTATTTGTCTCTTTCAAATTTAAAATCTCTGGTTCTATACCTTAGTTATGATTTCTTTTGCCTCCCCTCTGCTTTGGGGATCTAGAACATCGATTCCTAGAATAGGGGCATTGATTGTTCCCTTTGTCTTCTCCCTTTTCCTCTCTCTAACCAGTTTCTGCACCACCTGGAGGAGTTGCTAAGGTTCTTAAGAGGAAGGGAAATTTTTTCCAGAATCTGGAGAGTGTTGAAATGGGCAAAGAAGAATACCTGTATTTACTGAATACCTGTATTTACTGACCACAATACAGGGATTACCTGTTGGTCCTCCCTGTGGGTTTCAAAAGTTAATTTTCTCTTTCCTGGAAGTCAAACCTTGGCTTATCCATTTGAACCATCCTTCATAAGCCTCTATCTGATACAAATACTGCCCTGAAGATATAATGGACCCAGGTTCTTTTAATTAAGAATCCCAGCATTTAACAAGGATATTCAGACTCAGCAGCATCTGCAAAGAGAAAGTGAGAAGGAGTGGCAACAAATTGCTCCAAGCCGATGGCAGAGAGTCAAATTATTATTTATGGAAAATCATTGAATTTTGGTTTAAGCCTACACGTTAAGCATTTCTCCAATGTTTCTCTCTGTGGTAGTAATTGACTGCAAATTGTGATTTTTAATGGAAAATATGATGAAGCATACAGCTACAGCCCCAGTTCCTCAGCTCAAATTCCCTCTTCAATTATTTGCTATTCTAATACATCAGGCTTTCAAAACAAGAAAATTTCTCTTAAACAAACTTCACTCTGTACAATTTGCTAAAAATCCAAGCTAAGTGAATCATCATTCGGTGTCACTTTTCTCAAAGTTTACATTTAACTTTATACTAGTTTCGAAATGTGATTTTGATGTTTATTGGTGTGTCTAAGCTCAATGGCTATGAACATGAAATGGCTTTATGTTACTCCAAAACCTGTTTCCCAACTGTGCTGTGTCACTCCCCTTTCCTAATGGGTAATACCTCCCTTGATGTGGCATTTTGGTCTGATGCCTTGACTTTTTGGTCACTTAAAAGTTATTAGGGGAGTCTTATTCTGGTACACAAACTTCTGGCATACAGGCTTCATTTAAATATTATGAGCTCATTCTTGATCAAAGCTCTTCTTTTCTCCTTTGCCAATACAGGATAGAACTCCAGCTTGCAGTGCAGAGTGGGTGCTGGGGAGGGCAGTGAGGAGGTTGGCCTGCCTTTTGGACAGCCTGACATCCCTCTCCCTCTTCCAGGCAGCAGTCTCTCAGATGTGGCAGATCCTGAGCAATGACGGTTGGACAGAGCAAGGTCCAGTATCTTTCTCTTACTTGATTGGAAACATTATAATCCTTCTTTTTTGGCCATTGCTACTTCTCATGCTAATGGCCATTGAGGTTCTTTGGGTGAATTTCCAGAGGGGTGGGGGTAGCATATATGAGTGAGCCTTCCAGAGGTTCTTTCCACCACACTGACGTAGAAGATCCTGTCCCAGTGTGTCCTCTCCCAAGAGGGAGAGGGATGGCATTGCTGAAACACTCATCAATCCCCAGTACTCACACCACTTACAAACATGCACTCCCTGTGGCATCCATGGTTGCCCTATCACCTACTTCGGGGTGGAATTGCTGAAGCACTGATAAATCCTCTTGGTTTCTTTCTGATGTTCAGACCTGTCCCCTCATGCCCCTAATTGCCACATCCTCAGAATATCTTTTTCATCAGGAGAACTGCTCATCCATCTTCCCTTTATGGACCAAAAGAAGGTCTACCCCTTGCCCTGTTGATGCCAGAGCCCAATCTCCCAGCAGGTGACCATCCTGGATGAACTCATAAGTGACAGTTAAATCCAAGCTATGTTCCACAGTCTTCACTAAGCTCTTAGGGAATTTATATTCTTATCAGGACGGAGAGTGAGAATGCTCACTGCATTGCTTCAACTCCCCCTACTCAGTTTCATGATCTGTCTTCTAATTCTCTTTTGGGCTATGTAGGCTGCATGGCGGGTGGGTGATAGTCAAGTTCACCAGCAAATAAGGCAAAGAAGGACAGAAAATGACAGTGTCCATCTCACAGGCTCTCCACATCATTTGGAGAGATTCTCCTGGAAGTCATCTTCTTCACTACCTTGTAGAAAGAGGAGCACTTTTCTGCAGAAAGTAACATCCTTCAAAATGCAGTTTCCTCTTCCTTGTTTAGCCCCATGTTGGTTGAGAAGCTGCTATATTGCAGGGCCTGTGATGGTTGGGTTAGTTCTGGTGTCTTTCAGGAAATCTTCCAGGAAGGTGGCTGCCCCAACTGGTGATAGCTAGGAAACTTAAAATGTGAGATGTTTAGCACTTGTCATTCTCATTTTGGACCTTAAATGTGAGTCTGATAAGAAAGGAAAGAATCTTAGTGGATATCACCCTGTAATTAAGTTGTAGCCTTAGAGTTCTGCTCCCCTGCTGCCAAGAAGACACCTGGTAAATAGGGAAGCGAGAGCATATCTAGCCACCACTGTGTTGTTTTGACCTGACTGTCCCACTCTTCATGGGACACCTGGTGTTTCCCTCAGTCCAAACTAGCTTTTTTTTGGATGCTAGCTTTCTGGCTAGTGTAACCTTCCTTTGTTTTCCTGGTCCTAAAGCTGATTATTCCTCACTTAGATTCAGAGCTTCCCCCAGTGCTCACCACACTTACATACACACACTTCCTATGGCATCCTTGGTTGTTCCATCACCTACTTTGGGGTGAAATTGCTGAAACATTGATAAATCCTCTTGGTTTCTTTTTGATGTTCAGACCTGTCCCCACATGCCCCTAATTGCCACTTCCTCAGAATATCTTCTCCATCAGGAGAGCTGCTCATCAATCTCTCCTTTATGGACAAATCAAACAGGAGCCCCAGCTCCTCCTTTCTGATTCTTCCACTTTCCTCCTGACCTTCTCTCACATCTTTGCTCCTTTCAGGACATGGTGATGAATAATTCAGAGTTTTGACTGTGCTCTACCATAGGCGCTGATTCTTTAAACTATTCAAGACAGCATTCGAGCAATATGTCTCTGTCTGACTTAAAAAGCAAGCTTCAAACCTCCTGGCATCCAGGCCAAACTTTTCCTCGAATGTCTGCCCCCTGACACATAAATAAATATCTTGTTAGGGAGACGATAATGACATAAGAATAAATCTACCAGAAAAACCCTGTATTATACCAGGCTCCATTGCCCTAGGAATCATAGAGAAAATAGACTATATTGACAAAATTGAAGGATTAACCCTAAACCAAGTGTTCAGTTTTACTGAGTTAGATGACGCTGTTTCAAGTTAAAGTAGTTAAAGAGTGGATTTAATTTCACTTTATTCAACAAGCAGTAACAAACACATTCCCTGACCTGGAGAAACTCACCATCAAGAAGAATGTGTCAACATCTCCCCAAGGAGTTCCAACAGAAGGCAGATGGGATTATAGAGGTGGCAAGCATGAGAAAGAAGAGTTGATTATGATGATCTGACGGCAGCAGCTGGTGAAGCTGCATGGAGATGTTGCACTCAGGTTGGATGTTGGATGATTACTAAGGTGGGCAGTGCAGAGCAAAGGGAAGGGATTCTGAGCAAAGACAGGAAAGGGAGAGCTCAGTATGTGTTTCAGGAGCAGGAATTAGTCCAGTGGACTGAGGACTGAGAGCTTAGGAAAAGTAAAAAAGATAATGTGGGGTGGCAGAGGGTCTTAAACACCAGATTTAGTTGGGTTTGACTACATGTGCGAAAAGGAGCTGGGGAGATTCCTGGAGAAGGAGAAAGAACTGTATACACCGTTCTAGGAACTTCATGTGATTAACACATTTTATTAGGATAACAGCCCTCTGAGGTAAGTACTGGCATGATCTCTATTGTAAAAAGAAGGAAACTGAAATGATAAGGAATTAGCTTACTTGCAAAGATTACATGGCTTCTAAGTGGCCAAGTAGAACCCAAATCCAGTGGAAAACCCATGATGTTGAACTACTATGCACATAGCCTTTGAGTCCAGGTAGTGTGTGCCAAGGTTTCAGGGAAGTCAGGCATTAGGGCTGCAGGACTTTGGGAAATAGTAGACTAAATTAGGGCTGCATTTGGGAGTGTGGACAGGGAAGGCTTTCTGAAAGCAGAGAGGCCTGGAGGTGTGGCAGGAGGCTGTACGCCCTTTCCAACGTGCTGTTGCCAAGGGCACTGTGTGCCACAGAAAAAGTGGGGTAAAAGTGGTGAGGTGCTTCAGAGGAGGGAGAAATTCTCTCATCACAGAGATCGAAGAAGGTTTCACAAACTGAGCACAACTGCATTTAGTCAACTTTCTTGCTCACTACTGGATCCCTACAAAGCACAAAATGTCCAACATGCAACAGATGCTCAATAATTGAATGAATGAGTATATAAATTGATAAATGAATAAATGGTGCATTTCAGAGAAAGAGTTAAACTGAGGGATGAAATATAGAGATATATGTCCTCTGTGCACACTTCTCCATTCTTCCTAGACATGATCATGCCCCATCAGTGCTGTTTATAAATGATTTTTTAACTGTGCTTATTTTACTAAACATACCCTGCCTGGAAGTCTGGCTTTTTGCCCAGAAGTCTTATTTACAGATGTCGATATAAGGCAGCAGAGGTGGTAGAGGAGGACTAGAATGGGCCTTGGAATCCAGCAGACTAGGGCTTGACTCCTGCTACGTGGTTGTGGACAAAATACCTAAGCCTATATTTCTCCATTTGTGAAAAGAAGCTCTTGAAAATAACTATCTTTAATATAAATTTATAATTATTCTGTTTTAATCTAACAAAAAGCAAGAATTAGGCATGTGCACCATACCTTTGCGCGTATGTTTCTAAATTCAGGAGGAAAGGTAATACCCAAGGGCAAAATCTGATACCTGGCATACTGGAAAACCTTTTGTCTGGCATAAGGGAAACTGGTTTAAGTGTAGAATTTTAGAATTAAATTTTAATTCTCAACATCCATGGTTAAGTAGGCTGACACTTTGCATTCACTCCACTATGCTGTTAAAGTCTCTACATGGAAGAGTCCATTTTAAAACTTGACAATCCAAGGGAATTTCATATGAGTGAACATCTGGGCTGTGGGGAAGATCTCTAACGAATGATCCTGACAACTGTACATTGTGCTCTTGCCAGCCAGGAAATCACATCTCTTCTGTGGGGTTGTGTGTGAAAAAGAATTTCTGATTGAATTACCCTTTGAACTTTTATTTTCTTAAAACTATTGTAATAATACAATAATGATGATGGCAAAAAAAAAATCACTAGTATCTACCAGCTATTAAACATCTTGGTACCAAATGCTGTAAATGACACTTTTTATTTGATCTCATTTTATCATCACAACAACTCTGTAAGACAGGAATTACCATCTGCCTTTTAGAACTAAAAAGTTCTTGGAAAAATTAAATAATCTGCCCGAGGTCATCTGCTAATAAGTACTGGGCCAGGATTTATGTCTATAGGTTTTGATTTGAAAGTCATTTTCTTATCATATCTTTGACAGCACAGGATATACTCTCACCAAACCACAGCCCTGGAAACTTATTATCAACAAATGCAGTTGGCCATTGGCTGCTACCTGTTGGCCCTGATCTAACTCTACTTCCCCTGGCTACTTTGTTGCCAGTTTATCCACTTAGATGTCATTCTGCTGCAATATTATCCTTCCGTTCTACACTTGACCCTTGGAATAATTGTGCTTTTTAATTTGACCTCCTATCAGAGTACATTTTCTCAGATTGGATGACTTGTATTTAGAACATAACTGGGTCCAAGAGATACTTTCCCCTGCTCTTACCAGTAAGAACAAGCTCAGATATATCTAATATTCCACCTCCCGCAGGGACTAGGATATGTCTAGGGTTTCATTTATAAAACAGAGTGACTCTATACAGAGGCTGATGGCTTACATGGCTGAATTTACTTCAGGGATTCAGGAAAAGATCCTCAGTGCAAAAACGCTTCAGTCTAGTTAAAGGTTTGTCAATTTTGTTGCTCTTTTCAATGAATCAACTCTTGGTTTCATTTCATTCCATTTCTATTTTTTCCTATCTCTATTTTGTTAATTTATACTCTAATCTTTGCTACTTCCTTCTTTGTGGTTGCTTTAGGTTTGGTTTGCTCTTACTTTTCCAGTGTCTTATGGTATGAGGTTAGGTTATTATTTTTGTTTTTTAAAAAATATAGACATTTACAGCTATAACTTTCAATCTAATCACTCTTTAGCTACATCCCATGTATTTTAATTTGTTGAGTTTTTATTTTTATTCATTTCAAAGTACTTCTAATTTCCCTTGAGATTTCTTCTTTGATCCATTTAGGATTGCATGTTCAGTATTCATATATTTATGAATTTTTCAAATTTCCTCCTGTAATTCCATTGCACTGTGGTCACAGAACATGTGTGAGTGATTAATCATTTTAAACACATTGAGCGCTGTGACCTGGCATATTGTCTGTACTGGAGAATGCTACATTTGTGCTTGAGAAAAATACATATTCTGCCATTTTATTGTGACTAGTTCTATAGATATCTATTATGTCTAGATGGTTTATAATTTTTTCAAGTTTTCTATTTCCTTGTTGATCTTCTGCTTAGTTCTATCACTTTTGAAGTCTCCAACTCCTTTTGTAATTGATATATAATTCACATACCATAAAATGTGCCCACTTAAAGTACACAATTCAGTGGCTTTTAGTATAATCACTAGGTTGTACAACTATTACCCTTTTCTAATTCCAAAATATTTTCATAACCTGCAAAAGAAACACATACCTCTTGGTAGTCATACCCTATTCCTTCTCAGGGCAACCTCTTGGTGGTAAAGGCCGAGTTGGCATGTACCATGATCACTAAGGGGGCACAGCCAGAGTAATCATGAATGAATCTAAGGGTTACTCCCCTCTGCCAAGGTTACTCCTTTTTAAAATCCCAAAGATGTTGATAAGTCTTCCAAAAATAAAACATGGTCCGTTCTTCAGAATTCAGAAGTACATTGGAATTAGAGGTGAGAGACCTGGGTTCAAATTGAGAAACCACCACTTAGCACTCTGTCCACAGAATATGTCACCTCCTCCATTAATTTTCTTTTTTTTTCCCAAGGACTAATTGATTACTTTTATTATACAATATTTCCCATGTATTTTTTCTCTTTTTTTAAATTATACTTTAGGTTCTGGGGTACATGTGCAGAACGTGCAGTTTTGTTACATAGTGCCATGGTGGTTTGCTGCACCCACCAACCTGTCACCTACATTAGGTATTTCTCCTAATGTTATCCTCCCCTAGCCCCCAACCCCCCAACAGGCCCCAGTATGTGATGTTCCCCTCCCTATGTCCATGTGTTCTGATTGTTCAACTCCCACTTATGAGTGAGAACATAAGGTTTTCTGTTCTTGTGATAGTTTGCTGAGAATGATGGTTTACAGCTTCATCCATGTCCCTGCAAAGGACATGAACTCATCCTTTTTTATGGCTGCATAGTATTCCATGGTGTATATGTGGCACATTTTCTTTATCCAATCTATTATTGATGAACATTTGGGTTGGTTCCAAGTCTTTGCTATTGTGAATAGTGTCACAATAAACATATGTATGCATGTGTCTTTATAGTAGAATAATTTATAATCCTTTGGTTATATACCCAGTAATGGGATTGCTGGGTCAAATGGTATTTCTAGTTCTAGATCTTTGAGGAATCGCCACACTGTCTTCCACAATGGTTGAACAAATTTACACTCCCCACCAACAGTGTAAAAGCATTCCTATTTCTCCACATGCTCTCCGGCATCTGTTGTTTCCTGACTTTTTAATGATTGCCATTCTAACTGGCGTGAGATGGTATCTCATTGTGGTTTTGATTTGCATTTCTCTAATGGCCAGTGAACACACAGAAGGGAATAATACCATATTTGCAGAATTTACAAGCAGAGCAAATAAAATATTGAAATGTGTAAATAAAGGTATATACAGACATGAATTGTTTTTCTATAACTCCACAGGGGAAGCTGCTTTTTGACAAGATTTTCAAACCTAGAAGACAAAATGGTAATATCCAGAGAAGTGAGTCCAGGAAAGCAACCTTCTGTGGCTTGACCATCGAGATGGAAAATCACTGATCTTATGAAAAGCCTTCATAAGATCCTCAGAGGATAGTCTCAACATCCTTCAAGGTGACATTTCTTTAAAGATATTAACCAACTTCTGCCCTTCCCTTCAGATTCCACGGCCCCCAGCATTTGGGGCCACAAACATATTTTCCTTGGAAAGCCTAGTTGTCATAAGCGTAGTCCTTCTCACTCCTACAGTGTCTGGCACAGGCTGCTACAAGGATAATAGCACATGAGTGACTCGCTCAGCAGTGATCCGGAAATAATCTCAGATGTCATGACAACATCTCTCATGCTACAGTCTCAGCTTGGCAGTACCTCTGTTGGCAAAGAAGAAGAGCTGGTCAACATCTATTAAATTACCTTGCTGAAAACTGAAGCACTGTAACCAACCTCCACCCTTCACTTTTCTAGGCAAATTAACTCAGGTTTCATTTCTCCTTATTAGCCTTATTTTTTAATATTAGGATCTTCTTGGTGGCTAAATTCCTAATTATATAGCTACAAAGCCTCCCCTGATAAAAAATGTTCTAAATGCTTAATATTTCTTTGGTCCTCTGTGCCAGGACCAATGTTTGTTTTTTACAGAGAGGAAATTTTAGGAGAAAATAAGCACCTTACTCATAGCCACTAGATTAATTACTGTCAGAGATAAGATACAGAGCCATGGTTCTCATTAGTCTGCACATTCAAATTATCTGGGGAATTCTTAAAAATCCTAATGCCCACGTACACACTCAGACCATTTATATCAGAATCTCTTAAGTTAGAACTACGAATAAGTATTTATTTAAAAGCCCCCCAAACAATTTTAATGTGCAGCCAAGCTTTAGAATCACTGATTTACAAAGATGACACAAACAAATGGAAAAACGTTCCATCCTCATGGAAAGAAAGAATCAGCATTATTAAAATGGCCATACAGCCCAAAGCAATTTATAGATTCAATGCTATTCCTATTAAACTACCAATGACATTCTTCACAGAACTAGAAAAAGCCTTTTTAAAATTCATAAGGAACCAAAAAAAGAGTTTGAATAGCCATGGCAATCCTAAGTAAAAAGAACAAAGCTGGAGGCATCATGCTACCTGACTTCAAACTATACTACAGGGCTACAGTAACCAAAACCAAGCATGGTACTTGTACAAAAATAGACACATAGACAAATGGAATAGAATAGAGAGCCCAGAAATAAGGCCCCACACCTACAACCATCTGATCTTTGATAAAGCTGACACAAACCAGCAATGGGGAAAGGATTCCCTATTCAATAAATGGTGTTGAGATAACTGGCTAGCCATATGTGGGAGATTGAAACTGGACCCCTTTCTTACACGATACACAAAAATTAACTCAAGATGGATTAAAGACTTAAATGTAAAGCCCAAAACGATAAAAACCCTGGAAGAAAACCATTCTAGACTTAGCAACAGGCAAAGATTTCATAACAAAGATGCCAAAAGTGACTGCAACAAAAGCAAAAATTGACAAGTGGGATCTAATTAAGGTTTCTCCCATGCTGTAGGTTGCATGTATGTTTTCAGAAGAAGACATGCATGCAGCCAACAAGCATATGAAAAAAAAGCTTAACATCAATGATCACTAGAGAAATGCAAATCGAAACCACGATGAGATACCATCTCACACCAGTCAGAATGGCTGTTTTCAAAAAGTCCAAAAATAACCAGTGCTGCCAAGATTGTAGAGAAAAGGAATGCTTATACAATGTTGGTAGGCAGGTTAAATTAGTTAAACTATTGTGGACAATAGTGTAGTGATTCCTCAAAGACCTAAAAACAGAGCTACCATTTGACCTAAAAACAGACCTACCATTTGACCAAGCAATCCCGTTACTAGGTAAAACCCAAAGGAATATAAATCATTTTATAATAAAGACACATGCATGGGTATGTTCATTGCAGCACTATTCACAATAGCAAAGACATAGAAACAACCTAAATGCCCATCAGGGTAGGCTGGATAAATAAAATGTGATACGTATACACCATGGAATTCTATGTAGCCAGAAAAAACAACAAGATCATTTTCTTTGCAGAAACATGAATGGAGCTGGAAGACAATCCTTAGCAAACTAACACAGGAACAGAAAACCAAATACTGCACTTTCTAACTTATAAGAGGGAGCTGAATGATGAGAACTCATTGGCACATAGAAGGGGACAACAGATACTGAGGCCTACTGGAAGGTAAAGGGTGAGAGGAGGGAGAGGATCAAGAGAAATAACTAATGGGTACTAGAATTAATACCTGTGTGACAAAATAAACTGTACAACAAGCCCCCGTGGCACAAGTTTACCTATCTAACATACTTCCACACGTACCCTTGAACTTAAAATAAAAGTTTAAAAAATCACTAATTTACACAAGTGCTTTTCAAACGTTAATATGGGACAGGACTATCTGAGGATTATGTTAAAATGCAGATTCTGATTCAGTAGGACAGAGTTCAGAAAGGGGGCTGAGATTCTACATACATTTCTAACAAGCTCCAGGGGCTCCTAATGCTACTGGTTCATGAGCTATATTTGAATAGCAAGGATCAAAATATCAACAGTTCTCAAGCTTTGTTGCCCATTAGAATCAGCTGGGGAATGTATGAAACTCTGAATGCCTGGGATGCACCCTATATCAACTAAATCAGACTTGCCGGGGATGCCACACAGATGTTAGCATTTTTAAAAACTCATAGGGTGATTCCAATGTGTAGAACATTTGTGAAACAATGATTGAGGATTTCAGTTTTTGCTGATTCCAGACCTGGTTTCATCCAGTAAGCAGGAATGATAAACCATGGAGAGATTCTAATCCACTCAGTCAGTGTCTCATAGAAGCAAAGTCAAGCCATGCCTGGTATAGAGGATCGCATGAACACACAGAGCACTTTGAGCTTGGAGGACATCAAATCCATGGTGTGTGTGAAGGAGTTTGCAATCACGGTTGAACATTTGGAGGATTATTGGAAAGAAGAGTCAGTATACTTGGTCTGTGTAATTGCAAAACTAGGCCTCAGATCAGTGAATGTAGTTGCAGGGAGACAAATTTAAATTCGACTTATGAAAAGTCTGCCTACAAATTGAGCTGTTCCAAAATAGGTTAATTTACAAAGGAGCACCTATTCCCGTATCAGCTAAAGGGTTGGCAAGGAGGAGTCCTTGATTATTCTTTGTAATCCTTTTCACCTCTCACCCCCATTGGCCCCAGCCAACATCTAATCCATCAGTCAATCCTGCCAGATCTACCTTGAATCTATATATTTAATACATCTACTTCCTCTAGGACTATCCTTAAGCAACCACTGTCATTTCTTGCTGGAATTCTGAGATATTCCTCAACTGGAATAGCTTCCTGACATGCCTCTGCTACCTTTGCCTTCTTACGTCCTCTAGGACAGCCAGACTGGTCTTTTTAAAAACAAGAAATTACATTATTCCAGGCTTTTCATAAAAAGCCTCCATGATCTTCCATGGCATTTAAATAAAATCCATGACCATGTCAGGCAAGACCTTTTCCGATCTCATCCCTGTCTGCTTCTGTCTAAGTCTATCTCTTTTCCTTATCCTCTGAAGCCAGTCCTCACCAGCCTCTCCAGCCGCAGGTCTCCTTGCTGAGTCTTGAACTTGCCAAGCAAACCTATTTCAGGACCTTTGCACTTGCCATTCTCCTTGTCTGGAAAACCGATGTGCGCCTGATCAATTCCTTCTTGTCATGCAATACTTGGCTCAAATGCCACCTCTAGAGAGAAGACTCCTCTGCTTACTAAGCTAAAATGCCCACACTACTCTGTTACTCTCTGAATCATATTTCTCTATTTTATGTTGTTTTAAGATAAACAGCACTTAACATAATTGACTTATTTGTTTGTTCAACAAATATTTACTGAGCACTTACTATGTTTCAGATGTTCTTCCAGGCAATGGAAAGAGATATGTGAACAGAAGAGAAAAGTCCATGCCCTCATGGGAGTTACATCTCAGCTAAAGCTCTCACTCACGGTCTGAATTACCAGGTTCACTTATTTTTGTGTTTGTTGCCTGTCTCCCTTCTCTGGACTTCCAAATTGCAGGCATCTTGGCAATTTTTTTCTCACTGTGTACAGTACTTAGTTTCTGGAAAAGTATCCCTAACATAATATTGGCCCAATAAATATTTTTAAAAATTAATAAATGAATGGAGACTTTTTAAAACATTAAGAGTTCTGAGATTACTGAATTCTATTCATCAAGGCATCTAGTTTCCTCCTTTTTTAAACCCAGTATCAAGGTTAAGAGCTTTTGAAGAAAATCTAGTCCCATGCAATTCAAAATGTGAACTCCAGAATAGCAGCATCCACATCACCTGCAACCTAGCAACAAATGCAGATTCTCTGGCTCTAGCCCAGAACTACTGAATCAGAATCTCCTTTTTTTCAAAAGAAACAGTACCTCACTTTGTTTCCCAGGCTGGAGTGAAGCAGCTATTCATAGGTGCAATCATGGCATACTACAGCCTCAAACTCCTGGCCTCAAGTGATCCTCCTACCTCAGCCCCCCGAGTAGCTGGAACTACAGGCATGTGCCACTGTGTCTGGTGCTGAATCTGCATTTGATGAGATTCCCAGGTGATTGCTACACAATTAGAGTTTGAGAACACTAAGATAGTCCGTATCCCTTTTGTTAGAGGTAGTAAACTGAGGTCGAAAGAGGGCATGAGTTGCCCAAGGAATAAGATCCTATTCTGATTTGAATGTTCTATCCTTCATACTGGGAAGCTTCACAAGTACCATATTTGTATCTCAATAGGAGACTGAGACACAAAATTTGCAACCTGAGAAGTGACCCCATACTGAGTATTTGTAGAAGACTGTACCTCAGATACCTCTAAAAATCTCCCTGTACATGTCCTACCACCCTCGCATCTTACTGCATCCAGCACGCATTATTGAATGACTTCTAGGTATGAGTGGTTCCTCTCAAAGATCATTCCTTTGTGCACACTCAGGCCCAAGTTTCCTCATCACAGGACATTATTTTTGCATGTTATTCTCAACCTCCAGGAAGTTTTCTCCTGCAATCTTTTTGTAGGGAGGATCGTTTTCTGCTCACCTTACAGGAAAGATGCAAACATTCTCTCTGCATGCTTCTGCACATGTGCAGTCTCTGTGTGTCCTGGAATTGCAGCTGCATTTCCCCACTCCACCAGCAGAGCCCTGGCTCACACTCTCGCTGTTGTTTTCCATTAGGTCGTCCCTGGGACTCTGCAATGCAGTAGATTTCCTCTGTTGCCTGAGATGGACTAGCTTCTGGCTGTCACTTTCTCACTTGACTCTCAGGCTGTCCTCTGCAGAAAGGCTCGTGGTGAAGCTATTCCATTTCTAAGCTACCTTGAAATGTGTGTAGCAAATTGTATTATTTGGCTTAACAAAGAAAAGGAAAAAGAAGATTTCAAAAGACTATATTTTGCTTCTTGTATTCAAACTCCGCATTTGGAGCCCGTGGCTTGGGTTATACCTGAAGATGTTTATGCTCCCTTACAGGGCACGGCACTGACTCAACCTGGCTCACAGCAAATCTTTGGAATAAAAGAATAAGAATGATCTAATATAACAAATATGAGAAATCATTCTAGATTCTCATCTTGAAAAAGTAAAATTGGTTCTTTTCTCATCCAGACTTAAGTTTGAAATGCTACAATTCATACTCAACTAACACAAGCATTGAAAAGACACTATTTGCTTTCCCTTCATTTTAGTGGAAGTAGCAGAGGTTTTGAAATCAGACAGATTTGGGTTTGGATCAGAGCTCTTCTGCTTACCAACACTGTGACCTTGAACATGCTATTTAATTTCTCTGAGCCAAGATTCTGTATTCACAGTAAGGGACAAAGCTACTTCAAAGGGAAACGTTAGAGCCTCCACAAAAGCTCCTGGGAAGTGGTCGGTGTCAGTAAGCAATAGTTGCTTCTGTAGCTGTAATTATTAGTGTTTGCAGCCTTCAGTGCTGGTGGTGGCAGCAACATATAAATATATCATGGGCATCCACTCAGGTAAGTGACTGAGGACTTTGGATTTGAATTGATTTTAAAACTAAATGTGTCCAAGTATATACATGATGGATGTGGATAATTAGTCAACAGGGAACAGTAATTAGCAAATTCCTGAACCCCAGCTCTGCTTGCAGGGATACTAAAGAGGATAATTATCTATTGGCTCAGAAGGCCACATGGCAGCTGAGAATAATGGCCATCAGGTGACAGTATTGGCTGAGGTGGCCTCTGTGGGAGCACAAGCACATCCGTGTCTCAGCCTGGGGCAGGGCTGGAAGGGTGGGCAGAGAGGACCCAGGACAAGCCTATGGCCTGAGCAGAACCTCACTATATAAGTGGACACAAACAGAACTAAAGTTCTGAAGCAGAATCTCTGGGGTTACAACCCTGCCATCTTCTAAGCTTTTCCATGTGACTCCTTTGTACACGAACTTTTGGAATTCTCTAGTGAAAGAGAATGCCTTCCATTCAGTATTAATCCTATTAGAAGGAAGCCTTGGTCAAAACAAATAATTTTACATAAGATCCAGCTAACAGCATGCCCTCAAAATATTTCCCTGCATCTTGCCCCTCTTTATAGATAAAACTCATTCATTTTATAGCAACATGAACAGGATTAAGGACTCTTTCTGAATCGTTCTGAGATTGCGTATCACTTTTATGATTGAATGTTATCTGTTTTTCTCTTTGGTGAAGTTCCTATAAATTCTATACAGCACATATCACATAAAATTGTTTATACCAGAAAAGTCAACAGAAGTTTATTCTCTCAACTCCACATTTTCAAGCATCACAGGATTTTCTATCAGTGAGTTACAAGTATTTACTAAGTATATAGTACCAGTCAGGTGTCTAGGGAAGAGTAAAATCTAGCCTTTCTCCACAGATTTTACAATTTAATATAGAAAAAAAATCACAAAAATGTGAAATAATACTAGAATAATTACTATTGAAAACAAAACATAATGACAGAAGTAATAACAATACCCATTCACTGAGTGCCTCCTGTATATCAGGGGCCACACTAGACCTTTATATAAATTATGACTCATCCCTACAACAGCAATGCAAGAGAAAGACCACCTCCTTATGTTATATGAGGAGAAACTGAGGCTCAGAGATGTTGAGAAACTTGTTCAAGGTCATATGACAAATAATGGAAGAGTGGGGATTCAATCCTTGGGTTATCAAGCTCTAAAATCACTGCTTTTTAGAATTAGGAGGCCAGGAAAGAATCCTCAGTGATGGGAACATGTTGTCAGGCTATCTCTTCCATGTCAATGGAAAAATGAGGTTGAAAACATGACCAAGTGCATAAATGAGGAAAAATGAGATTAATAACATGGCCAAGTACTTAAGACTAACAAGAATTTGGGCATCTTTAACCTGTGAACCTTTGAGTCACATATGTCACCTTCATTTATTCAATGCTCCTCCACCAGAGATGGCCCTGTTCCTCACCTACCTTCCTTTTCCCTTTATCCCCCCTCCTTCCCCCTCTTTCTTTCCCTCTCTTTCTCCTTTTCTCTCTTTCTGCACCACTCAAAGGGACTCAAAACAGAATACATTTAATTAAACTAATGATTCTTAAATATGTCTGTTTCATGGATCACTTCATCTAACAAATATGTTCTTTCTCATTCTGCTGGGCATTTTCACAGGATATGCTCTGCCTAGAATACATCACCCACCTTTCTGGTAGGCAGACCTCATTTCAAGGTCTATGCAAATACCTTCCTTTTCCCAGTACACTGTGCCAAGTTAGTCATTTCTTCATCTGTGCTCTCACAGGTCCTGCTACTTTGCTCCATTGAAACACTAGATTGTAAACTCTCTGAGAGCAGAAACTCTTTTTGATTTATTCTTTATCCACAACTTCTAACTCAGGACCAAGAATTAACAGGTGCTCAAAAAGTCTAGATAGATGGCAGATGGAAAGATGAGTCTAGTTTTCTCTCGGTCTTCAGAAGGCCCAACAATACAGAAACAATGTCTTCTTACTGGCACAGTTGGCACCAGTCAGTGGTCTCCAGGATGGAGGAGACGAACAGAGGTGATGTGACTGTGGAATAACCTCAGTTCAAAACTCCAAAGAAACATGAGGGACCACTGATGTGGTCATGTTTAACTAAAAAATTTCATGGATCGTGAATGTGGCAGGAACCACTTTTGCCATCAGAAAATAGACATCCTACAGGCTTCCTGGATAAATTCATCAGGAAGCACCAGCATGCTTTCAGACACCCCCACCTTTTCCTATTACCTCAGTGTGAGAGCTCCTAGGATCTCTGTTTGACATTCTCTACCCCTTCCTCCCCTTCACACACATACTCCCACTATGCGCTGCCTCTTCCATTCTCAGGAATCATTTTTCTTCCATTCTCAGGAATCATTCTTATGTTTTCTCCCCTTTAATAAAAGCTGCTCTCAGGATGGGATATTATATCAATTATTAGTTACTTAGCATAGATTGGAATAACTGATTCCTGTGTTATTTCTATCAGTCTCAGGACTGAGTTTACATTATTCAATAACAACATAGCATGGAGTAACTTAGAATAAATCTCTGTGGATTTTCCGTCTAATCCTGGGAAGCAGGGCTTTGTGCCCTAGGAAGAGATCTGAGCTGGGAAAGGGAAAGATGATGGGGACACTCACTTCTTGGAATACCCCAAAGTGACTGAAGTGGGCAGTCACCGAGTCCAATATTATCGTTCTCATTGTTATCACTGAGTACCATGTCCCAGCTGCTATGCTAGGCACTCCAATAAGCAAAGTCCATTATCCTCTCAACAACCCCGTAAGGCAACTCACCCTGCTCATCCTTTTTGTCTCAATTTTAGAACTTTTTGATTGCCCCAAAATCAAGATTTTTGATTTCGAACATGCCCCAAATCAAGATATTTTGATCTCCCAAACATTCCCCCAAATCAAGATGTTTTCATTTTCCTGTATTAGGCTGTTCTTTTGTTGCTGTAAAGAAATACCTGAAACTGAGTAATTTATAAAGAAAAGAGGTTTAATTGGCTCACGGTTCTGCAGGCTGTATAAGCATGGCACTGGCATCTGCTCAGCTTCTGGAGAGGCCTCAAGGAGCTTTTACTCATGGCAGAAGGCAAAGTAGAAGCAGGCACTCACGCGGAGAGAAGAGGAGCAACAGAGAATGTGACAGGGGAGGTGCCACCCACTTTTAAATGTCCAGGTGTCATGAGAACTCACTGACTATCATGAGTACAGCACTAAGGCATAGATGAGGGATCCACCCCCATGATCCAATCAGCTCCCACTAGTCCCCACCTCTAATATTTCCAATATATTGGAGATTATAATATTTCAACATAAGATTTGACCAAGGACAAATATTTAACTATATCATCCCCCATAGCCTTCATCAACATTTTAATTATTTGCATAATTATCTATAAAATGCTGTCTTCTTCAGTACACCTCAAGTCCATAGAGATAGTAACCATATATTGTTATTTTTATCCTTGGCTGCATTCCTAATAATTAGAATAATGTCTGTATCATAATAGGTATTCAGTAAATATCTGTTGACTTGTGAATGATTGAAGTGAGTGAATATTATGTAACTATTACTAAATCCCCTTTACAAATGAGAAAACTGAGGGTTGGCGTTTGCACTCAGCTCAAGATCAAGATGAAGTTTTGATGGCTTGAGAGCAGCTGAGCCAGTTCACCCAGGTGAGCCTGACTGAGAAGCTCACGCACTTCCTACCACATCACCCTGTGCTGCTCTCAGCTTCACAGGTACGAACACACTTGTGAATGGAGTATCAGGCATTTATTTGCCTTCTTTCTCCAAATTCTTCCACATGAAGAGCTAGATAAATGTCTTTTGATTTCTGCATTAGAATCTTACTTATAGGTTTGGCTGGGCCTGCTACCATTATCAGATCAAGAGACCTTATGAAAAGTAACCCAGTTAATTATTAGATCATTTACTCTGTTGTTTTTCTGTTGAAGACAAGAAGTCATAACTGAATTTTAAAATAAAAAGTGATCAAGAGAATACTTGTATAAAGTATATAAAGGAAGTCCCATAGAAGCAGGAAACCATTTTGTATCTTGAAGATGAAGCATTGCACACATAAGTAGTCAGTACAGGAAGAATTCTGGAGAGCTCAGAAAACACTGATGCTTTACACAGGCTGTGGGGTTGAGCGGCGAGAGCCTGCAACTGGGAATCAGATGAAGGAGTCTGAGCTCCACATCCTCTCTGTCATACGATAAAATCCACGGAACAAAGTTGTTCTGAGAAATAAGTGATATGTTATATTTGGAAAATATTTGTAAAATCCTTTATAAATACTGAAAGCTGAAGGCTGACAAAATAAAGGCTTGGAAATGATCATAATATTGGGGATATATTGATGAATGTGACAGGCATGGACACTGACCTCAGAGACTACTTAGCCCAACAGGCAGCTACCACTGGACTGACTAATAGTAGCTTTGGACTACCAACCTCATAAGAAGTCCATAAAAAGTTAAAGAGAACCAGGGATTAAAAAAAATTCTGATATTTGAGTACCTGAGACCAGTGAAGTCACACATTTTTATCTAAGAAGCATTTCAGGTTTGATTGCTGCAGACTTTGCCTGCTCTAGAAAATAATCCTCACAGACCCTGTAAACCTCATTATCAGCTGAGACAGCCACATCTAAAGCCACTGGCACCATTTGCAGCACAAACTTAGTTTAAGCAATTTATAGGCATAAGAGATTGTCTAATTTGCACATAACTGATGGCAGGAAAATGAAAGATGAGTTCATAATAATTCAGCTGACTCTGCAGTATAGCTCAGTGGCTTTTTTTATTTCCTTCAAAATTCGAAGGGATAGAAATACAAGCACAATGATTTCACTGCCTGTGGGCCTAGCTCTTTGTCCTGTGCTCAAAGCCCTACACAATTTGCCTCCAATCTCACATTCCAGCTTTGCCTGAAGCAAGACCACTGATGGAATTACCTATACAGGGTACTGCAAGCATACCTTGTGCCTCTGTCCCTGATGATGTTTGTTTTACTAGAGAATTTATTATTTTAGTCATAAATGAACCCCTCTCTGGTGCTGGGTACTGGGGACATGTTGACAAATGTGACAGACACGGACCCTGACCTCAGAGACTACTGAGCCCTACAGGAAGCTACTATGAACATATGTTAAGTGTGTCTCTCCCCAGTTTCCATCAATTGATATCCTATTTCTGCTTTCCATATGTTACCTATTCGTTGAAGTTTGTTTTAAGTTCTTCAGCTGGGTGCAACCTCTCCTTCTTGCTTTGTCCCTCCCCTGATATTTCAAAGCTGTCATCCATAAAGCACTATGTGGCAGTTGCTGGGTTAAATGTTGTGGACAGGCTATGTGGTTTAATTTTCAAAACAACACTATTATAAAGTAGACAGTGTCATTAAACCCAGTCTTACAGATGATGAAACTGTAGCTTAGAGAGACACAGTGTGCCCAAGGTCACTCAGATCTAAGTGATGAGACCAGGCTGCAGTCTGACCCCAGCACCTGGGACTTCATCATTACTGTTTTCTGCCTCCATAGTTTATCATAGTTATTTTCCTTATATCCTTCTACCCTCTCCACCCTAGGCTGAGGGTTTCCTGAAAGCAGGGTTTATGTCTTACTCACCTCTCATTTCACCCTGCCTATTACACCCCACCTCCCTGCTAATGTGTCCCAATGAGACTAGACACCGAGTCAATATTTGCGGGTTTAATTGAATTCTATGGGTACCCAATTTAAATTCTGTGATCTACCCTTGGACCATCTAGATATGACCTTTTGAGTTCTGATAACACATCAGCTCACTTTCTACTTCAATATTTTTGTGGTTTCATTTGCATCAACTCCTTGGTGTTTTTGTCTCCAGATATTTTATCATGCTAGAAAGCTAGCTGGGTTTGCTTTTATTCATGCAGCTGCCGTTATAGGAAGTGGGGAGGGAATTTGATTTGTCTAGAAGGCTGAAAAGCATTTCTGAGGATAGATGGGCCTACTAAGAAAGCTGCTGGGTTTGCCAGGAGGGCACAACTCAGAAAATGCTTTGAGCAGAGATTCCTGCAGACTCATCCCTTCCAGTGACAGGCCCACCCAGGATGGCTGCCTCTGTCACCACATCAGAAGGCCCAAGCTGCAGGACCCAACCTGGAAATACAAAAACTCTTTCCTCTTACCAATTTGCAGAATAAATGCTTTGCAGAAATTACTAGGAGTTGTAAGTCTAAATGCAGGATAGTAACGTGAACATGATTTTATATAACTTCTGATCTCTAGTCAAGGCCTTTGTAGAGACAAAAGAGGTGTAGCTCCTAATAGCTAGATAGTCCATACAGACTTCAGCAAAGTATTTCCCATGGAGAAAAATTGGCACAAGTGCTGGTGGTCTCTGTGATATCACTGCTCTTAGAATTTAAACAGGATAATGTAAAAGACAGCCTTTTATCCACAAATTTGGTGAAAATATGGTTTATGAATCACCGGAATGAAATTTTTAAAGATACGAAAATTATTTGGTCATTGGCAATACAAATAGGTCGGCATAATAACATGGATATGATCTGAAACCACATCATCTGTACTGTTACAGTCATCAAGACCAAAGGAAAGAGCAATGAAGTTGGGGCATCACCTTCCAGTTTCCCAGTATCAAACCTATATTGAATTTCTTCTGGAAAGAGGTATGCTCTCAAAAACTACACAAGATCTGTCAGAGAAACAAATGTGAACTGGTTAATACAGGGCAGTGTGATGGAAGTTCTAATATAGATTAAATGTCTAATATCAAGAAAATAAATTTTCTTGATACAATAGAATATTGCACAACATTGAAATGAATTAACTACTGCTAAACATGACAACATTAAGAAATAGGCAAAATGCTGAGTGAACAAAGTGATAAAGCAAAAGAGTACATACTGAATGATTCCATTTATATGAAGTTCAAGAAGAGGCAAAACTACTTTAAGCAGAGGGAAGATGAAGAAATAATGTGCCCAGTAAAAGGAATTTTGGAGCATTAGGTTTGCCATGTAACTATGACCTCATATGTCAATGTTTTGCACATGTTGCTCCCTGCCTGGAATGTTGCTCCCTCTCTTGTAGGTACCTGTCCATCCTTTAGGACTTAGCTCTGTGAAGACAGTCATAAACTCTCCCTTACCCTCTACAGAGTATCTCAGGTAAATGGTTACCAGAAACTAGTAACAATTTTTCTCTGGACAAAAAGACTGGATGTCTGAACAAAATGGGTAGTAGAGAAGCTTACTGTCACTGGATACTCTTCGATTGCATAGTTTTCCATCTAAAATAGAACTTTTTTTTTTTTTTTGAGACAGAGTCTCGCTCTGTCATCCAGGCTGGAGTGCAGTGGCACAATTTCAGCTCACTGCAAGCTCCGCCTCCTGGCGGAGCCTCCCCAGTAGCTGGTACTACAGGCACCTGGCACCATGCCCGGCTAACTTTTTGTATTTTTAGTAGAGACGGGGTTTCACCGTGTTAGCCAGGATGGTCTCGATCTCCCGACCTCGTGATCCACCCGCTTCGGCCTCCCAAAGTGCTGGGATTACAGGCGTGAGCCACCACACCCGGCCTAAAATAGAATTTAAGGAAAAAATAAAATAAAAGAAATAGTGGCAAAAGTTAAGTGCCAATTCTACTAGTTTACCAAAAGTTAGGAATAAAGGAGCCAATGCTTTCTAAGCCCCAGGAAGCTTCCTTCCTCTTGCCTACCTCAACCAGAAGGGTAGTTCTGCTTTCTCAAGAAGGCATTTAGTGAAGCTAAGTTAAGCTGGGGGACAGCAAGTAAAGATGGAGTTCTTTTTTAAAAACTCAATTTTTTACTAGTCATAGTAAGGATCTAATTTAAAGTCCTTCTATGAGAGCAGAGCTTACAAAATATAAAATCCACAAAGAAGAGAATTCACTCACAACTCAGGTTAAAATAATTCACTCACTACCCAGGTTAAAATAATTCACTCACTACCCAGGTTAAAATAATAGTCAGTCAGATTTCCCTAGGCTTAATCTCTTTTCCTCACACTCTGGTTCCTCACGCCTACATTGTGTAATAAGACATCCCTCCATGGTGAGATACGGAGAATTGCTATAAAATGACATCCTTTTCTCCTTGAAATCAAAGGGTCTGACTTAGAGGAGCTTGGGATATTTTTCTGAACTGGGATCCGCAATTTATTATGGGTAGCATGAATTTAATGTTACCATAAACTGCAAACCACAGCTAAGATATTATCTTCTAGAATCCCTGAAATCTTCCATTTTAGTCTTAGATTGCTCTGAGAACAAAATACACATTTTTCCCATACACACTTGAGATAGATATTTATTTCAAATCTACTAGTGCAGGATATAAAAGCCATGCTTCCACCCAGTTTCATTAAATTCATGTTCTTATAAATTACAAACAGGAGGAAAATGCAACAAAAAGATGAGTGTCACATCTCACATTAAAAGGTTGTGGTTCCAGCCACACCTCTGTCATTTTGTAGCATATATTGACCAAGTCACTATATCACTTTAAATCTTAATTTCCTCATAAGATTGGGTTAACAACATTGAAGAATAGGATCTCCATCCTCATATAGGAGCCATTCCCACATGGAATCCTTTCACTGAGGGACATGGACATACGATGCTGTCTTCACCTCCAGAAGTCTACAGAAAGCACAGATTGCATTGCCATCTTTATTAAACTGGGGCAAAGAAATTATAATACCACGTGACACATAAAGAAAATGCCATGGGCTGTACCCTCACTATTGGTGGTTGTCTCTGCAATTGATGTGCTCCTGGGTTCCCACCACAAAAGCTCTATCAACAGCTCACTATGCTCCAAGTGGAAACTACTTTGTAAACAAGATGATGTATGAAATCACCATTGCTTAGTTGAAATAGATACCTATGCAAGCTTGTGATAATACCTGTCTTGGAAGATACAAATGCAACCTACAGTTTTAATAGAGGGCCTGACTTTCTAGAGAGATTATGTTTCAGAATCAGTATTCATGCATTTCAGTTGCCATGGACACAGGCAGCTGTGTGGGTATGAAGTCAGTTTTTAAGGTAAGCAAAGGAGACCCATGATTAAAGCAGATCTCAGCTTGTCTAATGAGTAGTAACAGATCCTAAATCGGATATTCCAACTGCTTAAGGGAACTGTCAATGTAATGTATTTGCTTTCGATAATATTCCTTAAGTCACATTTATTGCATGAATTAATGAATGGAAAGTTCATTTTATATGTCTTCTTTATACAATAATTTCCACAATCAAGCTAATTAACATATTTATTTCTTTCATTATTTATTCTTCAATAAATAGTGGTATTTATTGAGGGTCTGTGTGTGACAGGCATTAGACCAACAGGCAGGGATGCAAAAATGAATAAAACATGGTTTCTTCCCTCAAGGATCTCACTCTTCAGTGGAGAAGGAAAATATTAATTATAGTAAGTTTTAAAATAGAGAAGTTTTATAGATGACAAAAAACATCATTCCGGGGAGGAGAGGAGAGTAACGCGGAAGGCTACGCAGAGTGGAGTGAAAATGAAGTTGAATCCTAAAGGATAAGTGGGCTTGGCTCCAAAATATTGGAAGATGAAGAGCATTCCCAAGAAAGGGAGGAGTTGTCGAAAGCACAGAGTCATGCAAGAGCAGGAACATTAGTAAACTCAAGGGATATTTCTAATTCAGACAAAAAAAAAATTCTAATATCCCTCAGGCACCAGCCAGTAATGCCTCCAGTGTCTGGCAATCTTAGTCACAGGAACATGGCCACAGATCTGCAAACAGCTCCTCAGCAGGGGGCAAACTATGATAAAGTCTGTGATATTTTTGGGGAACAGTGACACCATATTCAGAGCAAAAACTTAGTAATGCTTCATGTGACATCAAGTTTAATCATTTAACAAGCAAAGTTTGTAATAGTCTTTTGAGGACCCACACAAGAAGAAATATTAGCTGGAAATGAGGAAAATAACCAGAAACATACAGAAGTCTAGTAGTTACCTTAATAGCTCCTCACACTCAAAAACTGCACATCCAGCTACCAGAGCACTCACATGTGACATGAAAGTATAATAATTACTTACAATGATTCCTCTAGGCAAGGAAACTAGTCAAGATTCCTAGTTTCTATTAGTTCTTAGTTTCCTACTGTTTGTTAAAGTAAGGTAATGTTTAATGACTCTAGAAAGTTTCTCACCAAAACCACTTAAATATCAAAAAGTCTTGCTTACTCAAGGTGTTAGTTATATATTAGTTTTAGAGTTCTGTTCATGGAATTATCTATTTCTGAAAGGATTGACTGAAAAAATAAGGTATTAGTACACTTTCACTTATCTGATAAATGAAGCAAATGGCTTTCTTATGATTTTTGCAATTGATTAACAAGATCTTCAAGTTAATCAGAAGACAATTTATATAGTTGAAATACATATTTTATTCAGATATAAAAGAGTAGAAACATTATTCCAACAGACTACAAATTGAAAATCAAATGAAGGTATTAAGTAGAATTACAAAAGAGATGAAACTCCTCCAAAACACAGATACTTTTCCAAGGAAGACATAAAAATGGCCAAAAGACATAGGAAAAGGCACTCAACATCACTAGTCATCAGAGAAATGAAAATAAAAACCACAGTCAAATATCACCTCACACCTGTGAAGATGGTCAGGATCAAAACTTCAAAAGATCATGAATGCTGCTGAAAGCGTAAAGGAAAAGGGAACCCCTGTACACTGTCGGTAGGAATGAAAATTGGTATAGCCATTGTGGTAAACAGTTTGAAATTTCCTCAAAAAATTTAAAAGTAGAACTGCTATATGACCCAGCAAACAACTTCTGGGTATATATCCAAAAGAAATAAAATCAATATCTCCAAGAAATATATGCAGTCCCATGTTAATTGCAACATTATTCACAATAACAAAAACATGATAACAAACAAAACATCCATTTACAGATGAGCAGATGAAGAAATCATACCATGTATACATAATGGAATATTATTCAGCCTTTTTTTAAAAAAGGAAATTCTGTCGTGACAACATGGATGAAACTGGAGGAGGTTATATTAAGTGAAATAAGCCAGGCACAGAAAGACAAATATTTTATGATATCATTTATATGTGGAATCTTCAAAGATCAAACTTCGAGAAACACAGTACAATGGTGATTGGCAGGGAATGGAGGAAGTGATGGAAATGGGTTGAAATACTACATCTATAACCTTCAGCTGTAAGATGAATAAATTGTAAAGATCTAAAGTACAGCATGGCAACTACAGTTAATGGCAATGTATTGTTTACTTGAAATTTGCTAAGAGAGTAGGTCTTAAGTATTCTCACTACACACACACACACACACAATAGTAACTATGTGAAATAATGATATGTTAATTAGCTTGATTGTAGAATCATTGCACAAGGAATATTTATATCAAAACACCATATTGTACATGTTAAATATATATATTTCTATTTGTCTATCATATCTGAATAAAGCTGGGGAAAAAAACAGAAAAATAAAAGTGAAATACTGTTAAGGACAGGAGGCTGAAGGACAAGCTAATGGAAGGTTTTGATTGTCCTTACACATTTCTGCAGATACAGAAAAGCACAAACATATGCAATATTAATCACACATACAACAAATCCATCACAGCTAGTAGATGGTTTATCCCCAAAGAAAAACAGAACTGCATCTCAACCCTACTTCCTGTTAAATTTTAACACATCTGAGAGATTGCCTTACTCTGAATCCCTGTTTAATCTTTAGAAATTGATTTATCTATCAGAACCCAACTTACCTTTGAAATTTAAATCAAGCAACTCTGTATAAATGCATAAGCTTTATTCCATAAATCTGTTTTCCCTAACAAGAATTTTTAGAAGGCCTATTGCCGTTTGTGTTCTTCCAGTTTTATAGGGTTTTTGTGATATTAGAAATCACATATGTTAAGTGCTAGCACATGTAAGTGATAACTAAGTAGTGATTATTGTTGTTATTTTAAGAGTTTAAAGCTCCAGAAAATAATTTCCATCTTAAATTTTGTTTCTACAGTAGGAGATCATTAGGAAACGTTTTGATTTAAAAATAGGTACATAGCTATTCTTCAGTTAAAACCTGACTCATTCCTTAAGTTAGAAATAATGCCTTCAAAGATTTTTGGTTTCTGCAATGACAAGACTTCTGCTCAGAAGATTTACTGTAATACTGAATCTTCCAGGGCTCTCACTTGCACAGGCCCCTTAAGGCTTGAAGGAGGCAAACAATGATTCTATCAGTTACGTGATTTCACATAATTTGCAGAATAAACATGTTTTAGCAGCAGTGAACCCCACTGACTTTCCACTTAACTTTATTGCTGTCACACTTCTTCTCAGGTATTGAGTAGGAAATTAAATTTGCAACACGTTTAGCTTGGTTTTAAAGAAATTTAGTGGTGTGGTTTGCAATCACTTCCATATACAGATGAGTGATAGTTGGCCATTTCTGTACAGAAATGGCTTCCAGGGATGCTACTACCACCAACTGTGCCAGGTGACCCCGTGTCTTGACAAGAAGGTATAGGGTAGTGTTCGTGTGCGGATAGGACTCTGTCTGTAGCACCAGATACTGAAATTAAGTGGGTAATGGAGCAGAGGCAAGGTTTGACATGTACAGAGCTGAAAGCTAGTTTACAGAAAATTCTCCCAAATCTTATAACTTATGAATGAAAGATATATGATAGAGCTTTTTCAAAATTTGAAAATGAACCCCCAAATTTAGATACCATTACTAGAATTATTTCTGATCAATAATTTTGAAAATTCAATTAACTATGATTGAGAAAAAGACTGAGCAACATTTTTATTCTCTCTATAGATATTATAAAATATTATAAGAAAAGATAATCAAATAGTACTTATCCAAATAAAGAAAGAAAAATATTATAGAAGTCAGGCAGTTAATTAATAATAAATACAACAGTTCTCAACTTTAAAAATTTATGTATTATAATTTATGTTTTTTATTCTAAATTAATATTTATGTTTACATCTCATTTGGTATTTTTTCTTAAGCAGATCCCCAAAATAGATAAGTTTCAAGCCTCATAAAATCTGTATCAGTCAATCTTCTCCCCACATCCATTCTGATCCACAATTGTCTATATATACAGGGGTTTGGGTGGTCCAGGTGACACTTAATCATCCGCCTGATATTCAGCATTGAATCAGCAGAGAAGGGGCACCAGGAATAAATTGGAGACAAAAGATTATTTATATTAATGAAGGCCCACTAACTCCCCAATTATGCTTTTTAGTTTCCAAGAAATAAACCTATGGAGCAAGCTCTCCAATTGTGGAAGAGGCCCGGTAGTTCCCATGAGTTTAACTTGGGTCAAGAGAAAACCTTGAAACTAAACTGGCCTCAAGGAAGCAGAAGAACTGGGTGCAGCAACTGAGATCTGAGGCCAGCCTGGGCTTCCCATTTCCCCTTCATGAGAGGCACCATAACGTGATTTATCCACCAGTCACAATCAGAGACGGTGGAAAATATTGGGCCTCTTTCACTACTGAAGACCATGCCCCAAGGGTTTATTTCCTGGAAACTGGAAACCCATCTGTCCAATCCACTGGGGCATATGGAGTTCAAAAATGTCAATAAATAATAGGGAATACAACATCTACATTGCCTTCCCAATGAAATCATTCTAGGGTGGGAGGGAGATGAAGAGGACAAAGACACATGTTTCTTCAAATATCCTTCTCCGTGGATAGTCCCTCCTATAAAATAAAGGAGCAAAGGATAATAAAGACTTCTCAGTGGAAAAGGTCTTAAATCTAAATTAGATAAAAGACCCGAATTCTTCAAATTGATAGCAAAACACAGTAAAAGCTGATGTGTTTATATTAGCTTTATTGCAGAACATACTTATTAACGTTTTTAGGGTCTTTCTTAAATCTTAGACCAAATGTACAAATTCTTCTGTTTTATGAAAATGTTCCCGGAGCCAACACAGTTAAAAGCAATCCTTCTCTAATAAATATATAACCTAGGACTACTACTAAGATTTAGCTTGCTTCGGGGAATTGTACTATTCCAGGAATTTGATGTGTGTAAGTACATTTTTGCAATATGGAAAGCAGCAAAGCTGGATTATGTGAAGCTATTGTCAATAAGAAATAACCTGCAACTCCCAGTTAAGAGGACTACAGGAGGTTAGCATGAGTCAAGAGAGAACTTTGAAACTAACCTGCCTCAAGGAAGCAGAAGACCTGGGTATAGATCAGGAAGGGGGGCCTATTTAGGGATGTAAGCTACCTTAGCGATGCGAGTGAAAGAATAAAGCAGGTATTTTAACCACAATTATGCTGCTAACTAGCCATCTGATCCCTAGGAAGTAAACTGTACTCTCTCTGGACCTCCATAGACTCATCCACATCAAAACAAAACAACAAAAAGAAAATAGAACTCATCCAGCTGTTAAAATTTTTAGTGTGGCAAAGGATTGAATTCTTCATGCAGTGTTTCCCAAGAACATTTTTCTCAATTCCAGTCCATGAAATGAGAGAATCTCTGAAAAATAGCTTCCCATGGTCAAATAATTTTAGAAAATGCTGCATACTTTTTCCCACATTGGTATATTCAGTACATTAGCATAATGCTGGCTCTAAGATGTACTGCAGTAAAGTAATATTTTTATCTTGTTTAGGATACTGCTTGCAAAATGTATTTAACTGTGAAAACCTTTTAGCATAATATCTATAACATGTAATTTGGGAATGTTCCTCTAAGGCAACATTTGAAAGTTTCAAGCAAGTTCTTTAGAAGAGACCTATAGCACAGTATCCGCAGTTAGACAGCACAGTCAGAACTCTGCTGTGAGCTGTCTTCTTGTGATATGCTGGATCTGTTATTTGGAACTATCCAGAAGACAGACACATCAGAATCTTTTAAGATAGAACATCCTATGTGGAGATAGGGGTGTGGATGGGAGTAAACAGCTTGTTGATCTTTAATAAAATATTTATCAATGGAGAGAAAAATATTTAATAACAGAAAATCACATAGGGTTGGAAATTTATTGACTATAAATATAAGCTTCTTTTCTCACCATGGTAAGATCTCATCTAAGGAAAGGTGATACAACAAAGGCAAAGAAGGTCACAAATTCCAACCATGAACTATGAGAGATACAATGAGAGTACACATTTATGGTCTTTGTTATTAAAGGACTTAGATTCTAGTTAGGGAAAATATTGCAAATATATATGATTATAAAACAAGATATTGTTGGTGGATTTAAAAAGTATGGCAGATAACAGTTGGAGCTGCAGATATTAGCAGGATGAATAGACCCCTATGTGTGATCAGGGAAGACTACCTAAGAAAAATGGGTGGTGTAAGTCTTCTAAGAATGAATAAACTGAGGATGGAAGGATGGATGGAAGGAAGGATGGATGGATGGATGGATGGATGGATGGACACATGGATGGATATAAGAGCAAAAACCAGTAATGAAAACAAAAAGAGCTTAGATAAAAAAGAAATCATGTATCAGAATATATGGAGTAGGAACACTACCATTGATATCTGAGAAAGAGAAATTTGAAACAAGATCTGTCAGGCTTCAAACGTAACAAGTCAAAAAGGCAAAGAAAGCAAGCAGTACCTATCCTTGATGCCCAAATGTTGATGGTAAATGGGTCCAGTTATTTCAGTTCATTAAACAGCTATAGTCCAAGCCCTTGGATATCAGGTTCTTATTGAGGATACAACAAACAACACATTCTCTGAGCCACCAGAACTCAGGAGCAGGAGGAATAGACATATACACAGGGAATTCTAATAAAAAGATAGTGATTCAATCTTTAATATGTCAAATCCAAATTCATAGAGTACAAAGGAGAGAATTTAGTTTTGATTGTGATATTCTGTAAATATTATATAAATGAGGTGACATTTAAGGCAAATCTTTAGGAATAAATAAAACTAAATGAGGCAGAAAATGAAGAGAGAATTTCAGGAAGTCCAAACCGATAATCAAAGGAACGAAAATGTGAGAGTGAATGGGATCGTCAAAGAATCATAAACAGCAAATGTGGCTGCATGAGATGCAAGTGGCAGCGGATAAGACTGAAAATGTACTTTGAGAAAATCTGTAAAGGCCTTCAAGTGCCATATTAACAAATGGTTTATGCAGAAGAACATTATTAAGCTGGTTTTAGAAGAAAACTTTTCAAATCATGCCCTCTGAGCTTTACAGATACCACTCAAAAATCAATTCAGAGGAGACAAGAACAGAGGAAAATAAGAGAGCCCTTGGCTTCAATTCTAATTCCAGATCCCCAAGTCAGTTTGAACAGTTCTGTTTTGTGTCTCTCTTCACATTAGGCTCCCACTGGGATTTGGTTTAGACCCACAGTTCAAGAAATGTTTACTACCCAAAGATTTGAAATTAATCTGGTTGTCAAACAGAAGATATGATAAAGACAAGGATACTTTAGGGAGATATTGAAATAATCTAGCTAACATATGATGAGCACTTAATTAGATAAACCGGCACTAGTAGAAAATGGAAAAATTCCAAAATATTTCAGAGTTATAAGCAGGTACTGGTTGTGTATTAATTATGAAAATGAGAGGAAGAATAGACATGTAATGATGACTCCAAAGTTTAAGCTCAGGGGCCTAGAAAGACAGACAGTATCATTTACTAAGATAAGGATCATAAGTTCAAAAAACGGAAGCAGCAGGACCTGTTCAATTTTATATAAGCTGATTTTAGGTCCATAGCTTACAACTGGATAAAAATATATAATTAGGTACCTAAGGATATAAATACGAGCTAGAGATATATATTTTGATATTCAACTGCAGAAAAGTAAGTATAACTCACCAATGTAACCCACCAAAAGAAAAATTAACAATAAAAGAAACATTGAGTTAACATTATCTAGGCATTTAATTTATGCAGTAACTACACTAAGAGCTTTACATGCATTATTTTATTTGAATTGCATATGAATCCTATGAGTAAAGAATATCATTATTGAGAAGCAGCATAATGTAGCAATTAACACGGGGGCTGAACTACCTATATTCAAATCCTGGCTCAGCTGTTTAATATCCATGTCATTTGGGGCAAATTATTTAACTTCTCTGTGTTTCAGTGTTCTGATAATAACCCCCTAAAGCTGTGATAAGAAGTAACTTAATGCATATAAAGTGTTTATAACAGTACCTGGCACATCGTAAGTGTTCACTAAAATGTAAGCAATTATTTTTCACTTCATTTTACCGATCATGGATGCTAAGTCATAGAAACATTATGTAACTACTAAAGGACACACCACTTAATAAATGGCCAGTATAGCCTACTCCTAAGCTCGTACTCAAGTTTTACACTAGTCTGATTCATGTGGGTAAGAGAAAAAGTCAAGGTTGTAACCTAGCAAATACCTACTTAATCGATGTGTAGAAACCAGAGTGCTAGTTAAGTAGACTAGCTCGTAAGAAGACATGATCAGAGACCGCCAGGAAAGGCCCATGTCACTAAGCTATTGGAGGAAAGAAGAACGGGATGGTCAATAATTTCAAAAGTTTCACAGAGTTTAAAAAGGGAACATAATAAAGAGGCTGCTAGATTCATCAATCAGAAAATTCTGATGGATATTTAAGAGATGATTGAGCAGATCCGTTGAGGCAGACACCAAGCAGAAACATTTAAGAAATGTTTGCACACAAGGGAATTAAGAGCAGTCAATGTAGGTGTGAAATGGAGAAAGCATGTCAATTTAATGGTACAACTTAAGGGAAAATTTAAGGCAGATTTTCATAGAATGGAGAATCGTAACCATTTTTCTATGTGGAGATAGCAACCAGTGATAGGAGAAAGGGTGAAGTTCCTGGGAAGGAGCTGATCAATGCATCATAACCAAGGACGATGTAGGAATCCATGGGAAGGAGACCACAGTGATACATTTTAGCATTAGAAGAAAAAAAAAAGACTCAAGTGACATTGAGTAAAGAGAAAATGGAAGACATTTTTAAATGTGAAATGTGAGAGAAGTGGGTGGAGTTTATCCCTTAAAGCCTTCACTTTGTTTGTGTAAAGAAAACAGTGTGTTTGTAATCACCAAGAAAGGGGTTGCGTAAGGACCTTGGGGAAGAATAAAATTTTCACCACAGGGATAAGAGATAGATTGCGGAACAATTGGGAAGGCCCTGCTGAGCTCAGAGCAAAACAACTGATTAAGCAGCTTGTACAAGGAAGTGGAAGAGACAATGAATCGCCTATGCACAGAGTAAGTTAAAGGGAAACAAAAGTTATATAAGCAACCCACACAAATGGAAATAATGCTTTTCATTAATACACATTTTGTAGAAAGACGAGATAGAAAATGTTAAAAATCTATTTGAATAAGGCATAATACACGAATGCACGTAATTTGATGTGGGATACTTGTCATGGAACTGCTTGTAAAGGTGCATATATCACAGTATCATTTTCAGACGTTTCCCTCACATGGCATTTATGTGGGAACTTGTTGAAATAAGATCCAAATTCTGACACTGACAATGACTTGTTAATGGTCTAACCTGGTAAAATGTGTTTCCTCTTTTTGAGATTCAATATCACTGCCAATAAAATGAGGCTAAAGTAGAAGCTCTTTAAAAATTATTGCAGTTTTAAGATTGGATGAGTCTATATCACAAATAATGACATATGCTGCCTTTCCTCTCCACCTCCCATGCTTACAGAGATCTGCTTTTCGAATGGGATCTAGCTCTTAAGCTGACGTTAAAGGGATATATTAGTTAGAACTCGCAGGATACAGGCATGCTTCACTGAACCATGAGCAGGTGTGCAGCTAGGGCTCAAAACGGGGCTGCTTCATTCTTATCTCTCTCTGCAGCTTTCTCTGCTATTTAATCTGCATGGAGGAAGATGAATGCACCACAGTTCCAGAGATTTAAGAGATTACATCAGATGATGCACTAGAATCTTTGAGTCCCTATTTCCAATTGGTTTAGATGAATTTTAGTAGTGTCTCCTAATTCTATATAGGAACCATATATACTCTGGACATAGAAGTAGTTTCTATATACACTCTAGACAAAGGGGCAGTTTTATTATATATATGGCTATTGATAAACTTCTGGAGGCATATATTATGGATCAGGAAGAGTAGTTCCAAGCTATGAAAGAACGTATACGCTTCTATTATAAGGGCTTAGATCAAATGATGGTAATGTAAACAGGATCAAGGCGTAGACAAGTCAGCATTTATTTTTATTTATTTATTTATTTATTTATTTTTGGTTTTACTCTTGTGTCTCCTCAGATGATTTTGTGTCAAGATCAGCAAATTGCTTTGTTGTAAAAGATGACACTCTACACCAGGCGCGGTGGCTCACACGTGTAATCAGAGCACTTTGGGAGTCTGAGGCAGGCGGATCACCTGAGGTCAGGAGTTCGAGACCAGCCTGACCAACATGGTAAAACCCCGTCTCTATTAAAACTACAAAAATTAGCTGGGCATGGTGGCAGGGGCCTGTAATCCCAGCTACTTGGGAGTCTGAGGCAGGAGAATCGCTTGAACCCGAGAGGCGGATGTTGCAGTGAGCTGAGATTGCACCATTGCACTCCAGCCTGGGTGACAGAGTGAGATTCGGTCTCAAAATAAATAAATAAATAAAAAGATGATGCCCTAGACAGTTATACACACTGTCTCTTTACTGTTCTCCTCAAAGGAGACCCATGTCCCTATTATCCCTATTGGATATGGGAACACACACTTTCAATCATCCATGGTTTTTATTTCTTCCATTTTTCCCCTCAAGGCAGGTAAAATAGGCATGTGAGTGGGGTCAGGGGCAAACATATTGTAGGCACCCCATAAATATTTGTTGGAAAGAAGTGGCTGCCTGAATCTTGGCTTCTCAGCATACACTTTGAGATTTGATTCAAGAGGCAGCCTGAGACTCCTTTTCTGCAGTTGGAATCAATTATCAACATAATGTGACATAGTGCCCAGGTTACATGGTTTAAACTGCAGCGCCAGTGCTTTGTCTAGAATTCTGACAGGGGCTCTCAGTGCAAACCTACCTTATTGATATAGATACTTGATAATAAAGGTTGAGGCTAATTTTATCGTAAGATTTCATGTGTATGTCTTCCACCAGCCTTGCTACCCTCCCCACAGAAAAATAAATCAATGCATAGGTCATTAGAAAATATTGTTCACAATGGAGTTTGTGAGTAATTTCACTTGTTAAACATACCTCCCTACCTAAAGTGGATGTCCAGGCACAAATAAATGCATTTGTAAACATGCTTTCCTCAAAGTTTAATTATTCATATATTCATTAAATAAATGTGTTCTTCCTTCAATTTGAAACTGCAGTCACAAATTTCATTTACTCTGAGAAGTAAATGAATTGGTCTCAGAAAAAAGATCCCTTATCAACACAAATAAAAAATGTTCATTCATAGAACTGCTGGTTTTCAAAATGATGTAATATGCGTAAAATTAAAAATAACCAAAACAAAAACGGAAAAGAGAGATACTGAAAGAGCATGTCCATTTTACAGTAAAACCACGATAATCAAGAAAAGAAATAACTGATTTTTACAAAATGAATACTGTTTCTATTACAATTCCCTTATTGATGACGCCTGGAGAAATTATCCAGAAGATTGATTACAGGTTGTATAATCATGCTCTTAATTACTAATATAAAATTCTTCAAAACAAGTCATAGTCTAAATGCATCATAAAAGCACATTATTAAAAGTCTCTAACACAATTTCAATAAAGTAAAAATTTACTCACTAAGACACTGAGAGGTGACAGCGTGCTGGCAGTCCTCAAAGCCCTCGCTAGCTCTCGGCGCCTCCTCTGCCTGGGCTCCCACTTTGGCGGCACTTGAGGAACCCTTCAGCCCGCCGCTGCACTGTGTGAGCCCCTTTCTGGTCTGGCCAAGGCCGGAGCCAGCTCCCTCAGCTTGCGGGGAGGTGTGGAGGGAGAGGCGCAGGCAGGAACAGGGGCTGCGCGCGGTGCTTGCGGGCCAGCGCGAGTTCCGGGTGGGCGTGGACTTGGCGGACCGCGCACTCAGAGCGGCCGACAGGCCCCACCGGCTCAGGGCAATGAGGAGCTTAGCACCTGGGCCAGCAGCTGCTGTGCTCAATTTCTCGCCGTGCCTTAGCTGCCTTCCCACGGGGCAGGTCTCGGGACCTGCAGCCCGCCATGCCTGAGCCTCCCCCACCCTCCGTGGGCTCCTGTGCGGCCCGAGCCTCCCAGACGAGCGCTGCCCCCTGCTCCACGGCTCCCAGTCCCATCGACCACCCAAGGGCTGAGGAGTGCCGGCACACTGCGCGGGACTGGCAGGCAGCTCCACCTGCAGCCCCTGTGCCGGATCCACTGGGTGAAGCCAGCTGGGCTCCTGAGTCTGGTGGGGACGTGGAGAACCTTTATGTCTAGCTAAGGGATTGTAAATACACCAATCGGCACTCTGTATCTAGCTCAAGGTTTGTAAACACACCAATCAGCACCCTGTGTTAGCTCAGAGTTTGTGAATGCACCAGTCGACACTGTATCTAGCTACTCTGGTGGGGATTTGGAGAACCTTTGTGTCTACACTCTGTATTTAGCTAATCTGGTGGGGACGTGCAGAACCTTTGTGCCTAGCTCAGGGATTGTAAACGCACCAGTCAGCGCCCTGTCAAAACAGACCGCTGGGCTCCACCAATCAGCAGGATGTGGGTGGTGTCAGATAAGAGAATAAAAGCAGGCTGCCCGAGCTAGCAGTGGCAACCTGCTGGGGTCTCCTTCCACGCTGTGGAAGCTTAGTTCTCTCGCTCTTTGCAATAAATCCTGCTGCTGCTCACTCTTTGGGTCCACACTGCTTTTATAAGCTGTAGCACTCACTGCGAAAGTCTACAGCTTCACTCCTGAAACCAGGGAAACCACGAACCCACCGGGAGGAACGAACAACTCCAGAGGCGCCGCCTTAAGAGCTGTAACACTCACCGCGAAGGTCCGCAGCTTCACTCCTGAGCCAGGGAGACCAAGAACCCACCAGAAGGAAGAAACTCTGAACACATCCGAATATCAGAAGGAACAAACTTCAGACGCGCCACCTTAAGAGCTGTAACACTCACCACGAGGGTCCGCGGCTTCATTCTTGAAGTCAGTGAGACCAAGAACCCACCAATTCCGGACACAACACTTTTACATAAATGTAGATTCTAAGCCATATCAGAATTACGCTGACATATTCCTTAAATTATGACTATTAGAAACAATATTAGTAAGAGTAAAGTTACTGTTGCTTGCAATTTGATATTTTTCTCCACATTGTTGCTAAGCCACTACTGTAACAAAAGCCAAATACCTTAGATTGTCAAAATGTTAGTGCGTACTTAAGTATGAACAAAGATTAACCTTCCCAGCACACCTGTAATCATATAACTACTTTGTTCAAAACTCTCTGATGATTCCTTCTGTTTAAAAGTAATCCATCATTCGTATTACAGCGTGATCTGATCCTAATCTACCTTTCCTATATTTTCTACTTCCTTTCCTCTAGCGAAAGTGGATTTTTCAACACTCCCTGAACATGCTTCTGTCTCTATGTCTTTGCTCATGGCATTCCCTCTCACCTCGAATGGCCTTTCTCACATCTTTAACCACAGAAATTCCATCCAGTCTTGAAAGCTCATGAACATACCTCCTCCTCTATGAATTCTTCTCCAGTGCTCTCAGTGAGAAGTGTTTTGGTCCCCTGAACTCCATGACATTGGTCCAGATTTCTGTGACTGATTCCTACGAACCTGCCACCTTTCAGCCTCATAGATTGTCTTCTCTAGCCTTACAGCACCTACAACACTGCCTGAAAGTGAAGTAAATTTAAGTACTTGGTTGTTTTCTTAATCAAGTAATATCTTCTTGAAGGCAGGCACTGTCTTTCCTTCTTAGTATTTCAGTATTCTTCAAAGAGTCTCATTCACTTTAGGTATAAGGCAAGTATTTGGGTGCGTGTGTAAAATAGTACTTGATAAAACAACCCACACCATGATAACTAGAAAATAATTTTTATCCTTTCTGTGTTTGAGGACATTCCACAAGGTATGTACAAAGTTTAGTCACATAAACTAATTTTATAATACCCAGCAAATCTGAAACTAATTCTGCTCACCATAAGAAAATATTCTAATGCATTTAAACATGCTGAGCATCCCTGAGTATGTACCCATTTAAAGACCTGAACTCAACCACCATTCAAACTGGCCAGAAAGAAACTACCTTTGTGATGTCTGGAAATACAGGACATTATGCCACATTATGAGAAAGAAAGAAAACATGCAGTTGGAAGAATTAGATAAACATTATTTTTAATACTCTGGACAGATGGACAAAAAAATCAGATCAGCTAAAACGCTTTCTGTAGTGGGACTTTCTCATCTGCTGTTAATTTTAGTGTAAGAATATGGAATCTAAAGGTCAAATCAGGTTCATTTGCCCTAAATGTCTATAAATTTATCTATATCTGTATATCTAACCAGCTAACTAAGATCCCTGGTGGGGAGCTCCTTAACCTAGAAAAGTATATTACAAATAAAATTTTGATAATAAAACTGCATATACTCTCTGGAGTGAGAATATATGCAATTTATGAGGCAATGCAACAAAAATGGGCATTTACTGGGTTTCGTCTCAAGTTCTTTATCACTAGAAATCTAATAAGCTTGTTTAGCTCAAAAATTTAAACAAAGTGACATAAATCTTTAGGGGGCTCATATAAAAATATCTGGGCAGCCCAAAGTGTGTTATATAAAAGTATATTTAATATTCTAATTTTATACTTTGAACGAATGCCTAATTCTTTGTAGACAATCTATGGAAAATAAAGCTAAACATTTCTTGGGCTGTTGAAGTTTTACCATGCAAAGCTATCTTTTCCTCCAGTATGTCATCCATAAAACTGCCTGACTTCCCTTCACTGCTAAGTATAGGGCTGCTCAGTGGTGCTGTATTGCCCTGTCCCTCTTCCTCTTTCTGAGTTCTGCCCCTCATGGTCAGTACATTCTCTGTACTCTGATCAGTACCTGCGCTCAACAGATATGGGAAAAGGTCTTAATTCTTCTTTTGGTTAGGAAAGCCAATCCTTGTCAGGGTCCAAAATGAAAGTAAATCCCGACTTGGACAGCAACATGACAGTTACTAAGAATATGACTTCCCAGGGCATTATTGTTTGATCATGCACGTCTAAGATCATGTGGGCTACATATCAACCAAGCAGAAATGTCAGCACTTTCTAAAGAAGAGAAAGCTGAGCTTCAGGTAACTAGCTTTGGATGTTTCCTCCTCAGATGCTCATCTGAATCATCGGTATCCAAGGGCAGGGATTAGTAGCATTAGGATAGCCGTCAGCTTTTTCCAACTTTGTCCTGCTCAGCTGGTTTAGAGCAACCCAGACACTCTAAGATGGGAAGAAGGGAACCCACTTAGGTAGAAATATCTTTGTTCAATGACAGGGATTATTTGAGGAAGGGTAGGTAGGTAAAAGAGTTGAATTTGCTCTCATGTCCACATAGTTAAAATCCTCTGTGACCTATTTTCTCAGGTTTCAATAATCCCAAAATATGGGCATTAATCATGAAAGTCTGAACTTAGCTTTCATGTAAATTTTTGGTTGTGAACATTTTCTGTCAGTAAGAATTGTTTTATCTATTATGCACTGCCAATTATAAGAGATGAGTGTCAGTCATCATCACTATCTACCATGGATCCACTGACAGCCAAAGCTATCAGACCAGTCCTTGCCTGACCTGTTTGAGTTGATGAGAGTGGCTATGAATTGAAACCCCATTACAGGGTGGTCTAAGTGCACTTGTCTCTAGTTCTCTGTAACACCACATCTGGCTTATGAGCAAAGGAAGATACCAGGTTTGTTTCCCCAACTTTTATAAAAGTTATAAAATAATATGTATAATATTTTGATATAACATCAAGAGAATAAAATCTTCAAAACTATCAGTCCCTACTAATTGCATTTTCTATAATATCTGATCATTAATGCTTCATACTTAATATGTACTCAGCAAAGAATTGTTAAATAAATGAATGAATGGATTGCAACTATGTCAAGATGGGCATGAAAATGACCAAAAGCTATCAAAGATTTTGAAAAAAGGGATACAATTATTGTGGTACAGAAGTGGGGTTCTGAGTGCTTTCATTTCCTGATTAAAAATGTCTTTCATATCATACCAATAATGTTTCAATAATAACCACAACTTAAATTGACATTTAATTCAGTTCATCAAGGATTGTCCACTGAAAATGTGCCTAGCCCCATGGGACAAACAAGAACATCTAAGCCGTGGTCATTGTCCTTGAAAACTACATTGTGTCCTGGAAGATAGAGCATAAGCGTGAAATGGAGAAGCTTCACACAGGTCAGGGATTAGCAGAATGCTCAAATGAGCAATATATAGAAGCACTGGAAACAAAAAGCTCTAGCTCATGCTCCAGGAAAATCCACAGAGCCTTAAACATTCAAAAGTGAAGCATGCATTTTGCCTACTGCAGCAATTAGAAGCTGGAGCTGAAATCGATGCAGCAGCCACTAGAGCAATCTGCAGCTCTGTGGCTGCTGTTACTTACAGCCATTGATTTTCTCTGGCTTTGGTGTTTGGTTCACCTCACCCTTACCACCTCAGATCCACTGTGGCTCCAAGGTGTAAGGCACAGGGTCATTGCTTCCTTGAAAATTACCCAAGGCTCATTATTGGGCTCTGAACCTACAAAGGCCACAGAAAAGGAAAAATCACATAAAGGCTTTCTGACAACTGCCAACTATTGCTAAAACGCCACTGCTCTTCCTGGCATATAACTCAGTCTTTCTTAGAACAATCAAACTGATTCGTACTTCCAATTGTGAAATGTAAAACTCTCCACATTTAAGGTGGCCTCAAATGACCTTCTAGATTCATCTTTTAACACACTACCCTCTCTCCCAAAGCCCCTTCTCATAAATTCATTTATATCAGCCTACTTGACATTTTCTGAATATACTCTCAACTCATCAGCCCATCGAATCTGCTCAAGCCTTTCTTACTCCCTACACATCCTTTAAGACCCTGCGTAAGAGTCCCCACATTATCCATCCAAACTAATTCCCTTTTCTCCCCTCCCCAATCTATTGTACTTTCATTACAAAATATTAACTATAATCCTAGGTACATCTCACTTAATTGACTATTAATTTCCAGAAGGTCACTCACAGTTTATCCAACACAGTATCCTGTGTTATGTAGTGCACACCCAGACAGAAATAAGTCAAGCTAATGTAGCATTGTACAAAAAGATGTTTATCTGAGCACCAGAATTGTGGCACTAATAGGTGTGGTTCACAAGGTCAAGGTGTTTACTTATAACCATACCTGGAAGGAAGTCTTTAGCTAGATTTGGAGAAGATGATAAAAAGACTGATTGAGAGTAATAGAAGCTACATTCTGAAATGTATAGGAATGAGACCCATGAAGAGCGCGTTACATGATTACTGACAATGGACTATGAAGGATAAAAATGTGGTTCTGAACTCAATCTCTAATGCTTCATCAAGAGGAAAATTGGTCTGGATTGGGACATCTGCTTTCTTGTTTCAGAGTGCTTCTATTACTGAGCACATCAGTAATTCTTAGTTTTTGAATACCAACTCTGTGACTGGCTGGAGAAAGCTGCAGGGCTGCATATGATTCTCTAGATTGTGTCCCTCATATAGTATCAGAGGATTTTTGATAAAATCCAATTAACTGATACTGCCTGGTCTCTGCAGACCAGTGAGAAGTTAAAGGGATAGAGCACAACACCAAGAACACGGTTCCCTTTCTCAGAGCAGCAGTAGCAGAAGCAGCCAGCAAAGGCAGCCTCAGGGCAGCTGAAGGAGGAGGCTGAAGAAAGAGAAAAGGATTTCTGAGCATCTGAGATGTACCATGTAGAACTCTCAGAAATCACTGTAAAACACTCTAGGGAGCTTAAAGCTTGGCGAATTTATTTTACCTTGTGATATAATTTGTGTTGTACACATATTAAAAACAAAGCTCAGAGCAGGTAATCAAATTGCCAAATATAAGATGTGGTTCGGTTACTTTAATGGAACAAGCATTAAAAAAATACTTACTATGCGTCAGGCACCATACTTGATAAATCCTGGTGATTTTAGATCTGGAACCCAATAATTCTCTCACAAATCCAGGATTCCATAACCGTGTCAAGATGACTTTAAAATTCAAATAATGAAAGGCATTGAACTTGATCCCTGAGGTTCCTTTCCTCTCTGTATTAAAAGGATATAATGCACTTTTCCTTGGGCAAGGTTGAGCGGATGCTTGAGAGGAGACTAATGAGGTCTGGGAGCCGCTCCAGGTACTTGAAAAAAAACATGGAAGTTTTTTGGTCTAAGCAAGAAAGCATACTGACTGTATGCAGTCAAGTTCAGGTCAAAACTTTATTGAGCTTCTGATCTATTTTCACATTTTGCTAGGAATTCAGATGCAAAACAAGTAATGCCCCTCATGTTCAAGGGTATTTCCCTTTCAGTCAAATGGGGGGAGACACAAGCAATAATTCCAATATGACATGAAAATATTATGATAGTGTTAAGTACAGGATGCCTTCAGAGAGCAGAAAATTACCCAGAAAATCTGGATAATCAGGACATTTTGGGGGAGACAAGCTCTCTGTTTACACTGATATTAACTAGTGGTTGGTGAGGCAAGAAGAAAGAGAAGGGCAATCCAAGCAGCTGTCACTGAACGAGCAAAGACATGGAAGAAAGAGGCAATGCAGTGTGTTTAGGAAAACACAAATACTTCTCTGGTTCTAAAGAGTATCCAGCAAAAAAGCAAGATTGACTGGCAAGGAAGCTAGAGAAGTGAGTCTGATGTTCCTCTCACCATATAGAGGAATAGAGTTGTGTGTATATATATACACACAACTATATATATAGTTAAATATATATAAACTATAAATATAAATAAATATAGTTATATATATAAAAATATATAATATATAAATATATGATATATATAATACATATTAAAAATATATAAATATATAGTTATATATAAATATATTTATAGTTACTATAAATAAATATAGTTATATATAAATATAAATATATATCAATAAATATATATAGTTATATATAAAATATATTTATAGTTAATATAAATAAATACAGATATATATATATATATATATATATATATATGACAAATTACATAGAGCCCTCTACCTGACTCAAAATTCAACCATGGTAATTGTATCCTGGAGCCTAGTAGGGGACCCACCGCCCTGTAGATGGTAACTGTTTTTACAAATGAATGAACATTATAAAATGATTTACTGGTTTCAGTGATAGGAAAAGAAATTTATCAGTACAAATACTTTTGCTATTCAGTATATTTTTTTCCACAGCAGTTAGATGATTGGATAGAAGACAGATGCCACCTTGGCTCTTTGGTAAAGTCCATTTCCTGGATTGCCACTCCCAGTCCAAATAAACCAGGCCACGACCACATTTCCTAGCTAATCTGGCATTATGCTGATCAAAGGGTATAACGCAAAACTCTATATTTTTCTAAACTATACATTCCCATCACCCTACCAGGGGGAACTCAAAGGACTGGAGCCATTGCCAGGCTCCTGAGAATGAATAAATACATACCCACAGTGACTTCACTAGAACATGATTAATTCCTTTTTGGCAAAGATGGGTCTGGCAATAGGCAAAGATCTCAAAACGACATGGAAGAAAATAGGTGATAGCAGCAAGTATCTTGGTGCCTTTGGGTTGATGGCTAAACTATGACATATGCCAAATATTTGTCTCCAGCCAGGGACCAGGCTGAGAAAGATGGATATCCTAAAGCTGAGCCATTTGAGATTTACTTTTTGATATGAAAGCTTCATATATTTTATACAATCATAATTAGTTCTCCATTTCCCAGTTTAATTGTATGACTACTGGCATTTTGAATTAGAGATGCTTTTCCCTGTTTTAACAAGCAGCTCTCTTCAGACTGGGAAACTGTAGGGGAAATTAATGTTCTTACTGTCTTTCAGCCTCTGAAGAATTTTTCCAGATTTCATGGAACCCAAAGCCTAAATAGCTTAGAGTATGCTTGAGGGGAGGACAGATGGGGCAGGCAACCACTTGTTGTTTGGACTGAAAAAGAAAAGAATAATGGGAAAAGGGGTTAGAAAGGTGGAGAAAGGTCAAGTCAGTGATGCATTTGAATGACAGATCAAGGAGTTTGGGTATTTCAAGAAAGCTCATGAGATAATCATTATAATAGTGGATTTAGGATTATTTTTATAAATGTATTCTATGGTAGTTTAGCTGAAATACGATCCCTTTTTTAGTTGGCAAAGCAATAAATGAAGGGCTCACATTATAAAAACTTACTGCCAACTTAATTTTTCTTAATGATACAAAATCCTTTTGAGTCTCAGAATTTGGAGGCCATTTTATTGCCTAGAATTTTATGCCTTTTCATTTATAAACAAATCTGGATATACAATGGAAAGTAATTGTCAAACATTAATATTTCAATGTAAGCCTGTTGTCCTTTTCTCAAATAGAAAACAAATAAATTTCACTTCTAATAATAACCATGCTGTGTTTCTAAGGAAATTAAATAGACTGAGGGGTTATACTACAGGGTACTTGCTTAGTGGTGTGTGTGTGTGTGTGTATGTGTGTGTGTGTGTGTGATGTTGTGTGTCTGTGTATAATCAGTCAGAGTCCAGTCAGGACAGTCAGGTATCAGAAACCAAATCTCTTAATTTAGCAGATAAAATGTAATATAAAATAAGTTTTTGAAAGGTTAACTAAATAACTGGTGATAATAGAGTACTACAGAACTCTGAAGCCATCTTATCCTTCCATAAATTATTTTACACATTTGATGCCACTATTAGCAGCATCAAAATTCCAATTCCTATTTAAAAGAGTTGCACTGTTATTCATGTACTGCTTGTATTTACTTTTTCACATTTAAAGTCCAGTAGAGTGGAACATTACTAAATTCATCAAAAAAATTTAATTGGATATCTTACTTTGGAATTATTTATAATTCAATTCGATTCAATTGAATGTGTTTGTAAGTGCCTTACTGTGATATAATCAAGGTATTATCTGGGGCTGCAGTTCTCATCTGGGGCCCAGGGTCCTCTTCTACGCTCACCGGTTATTGAAAGAACTAATTTCTCTGTTATATTTTCCATCTGTCTTTCTTTATCTAGAAGCTAGCAATGGCAGGCTGAGTCCTCATGCATCAGAGCTCTTCTACTTCCTCTTTTACTCCCTCTTCTGTTTTCCTATTCTGCTTTAAGGGCTCATGTGATTGCACTGAGCCCTTGTGCAAGGCCAACAAGTCACTTCTGAGAAAGGGTAAAATCAAATTAGGAAGAAAATGCCGCCTTCAGGTTAAATCTCAAGCACTATTCTATTGTGTTAGGCTACTTTCTTAGTCCACTTTATGTTGCTATAACAAAATACCACAGACTAGGTAATTTATAAAGAAAAGAAATTTATTTCTTACAGTCATGGAGACTGGGAAGCTCAAGGTTAAAGAGTCTGCATCTAGCAAAGGCCTTCCTGCTTCCTCATTCCATGGTGGAAGGTGGAAGGGCAAGAGATTATGTGTGTTTATGCATATGTGCAAGAGAGAGAGAAAGAGAATGGGAACCAAACTCATCCTTTTTGTGAAGAACCCATTCCCAAATTAACTAATCCACTCCCTTGATAAAAGCATTAATCCATTCTTGAGGGAAGAGCCCTCATGATCGAAAAACCTTTCAAAGGTCTGACCTCTCAACACTGTTGTATTGGAAATGAAGTTTACAACACATAAACCTTGGAAAACACAATTGAACCATAGCAGCTGCCCTATTCTATCCCTCTGAAAGAATTGCTCATCTAGAAAACTAGCATTTCTGGCTCCCAACACAGAGGTGTCTATGATTTACCCCCAAGAGAAGAGGGCTTGGTGTCATTATTCAAGAAGTAACCACACACTTACAGAATTATGAGTTTTCTCTCTTATGGTTGGACTCCAGCTACCACCCTTTCTATATGCACCCAAACCTATTTTATGCACCCAAACCTATTTTCTGCTCTCTGCCTCACTACATGCTACCCAAAACACATTATTTTTTTAGAAGCACCAAATTTGCATTTTAGAAATCCACTATATTTCTTTTGTATAGATTAATTTAAACTAAGTATGTGTTTTCTTAGTCATAAAGATGTGCTAAATGTCTGTTTAGATAGAGCACTGTAGTAACTAGCCCCTCAGCAAACACGTTATTTCATTCATTCCCAGACACAAAGGAATTGCAAGCTAGAAGGAAGAGTAAGTGCTGGGTGCTCAGAACAGCCATTTAGGTACCTAACCTACCATTTAGATACATGACCATGAGTAGGTTATTTAACATTTTCATGCCTTGGCATTTTTATTTTCAAAATTTACACTTAAAAATTTCTATCACACCAGGACTGTGATAGGCAGAATTTTGGCCCCAGTGATCTCTGTGCCCTGGCATTCCTCCCAGGAATGGTTATGGTACGTTACATGACAAGTGGGATTTTGCAGATGTAATTAAGTTTACTAATCAGTTGACCTTAGAATAGGAGGATTTCCCTGGATTATTCAAGTTGGCTCAGTGCAATCACATGAGCCCTTAAAGCAGAATAGGAAAACAGAAGAGGAGTAAAAGAGGAAGTAGAAGAGCTCTGATGCATGAGGACTCAGCCTGCCATTGCTAGCTTCTAGATGAAGAAAGACAGATGGAAAATATAACAGATAAATTAGTTCTTTCAATAACCAGTGAGCGTAGAAGAGGACCCTGGGCCCCAGATGAGAACTGCAGCCCCAGATAATACCTTGATTATATCACAGTAAGGCACTTACTAGAGAATCCAAACACATTGTGCCAGACTTCTGGCCTACAGAACCATGACATAAATAATAGCTGTTGTCTTTTTTTTTTTTTTTTTTTACTTTAAGTTCTAGGGTACATGTGCGCAACATGCAGGTTTGACACATAGGTACACATGTGCCATGTTGGTTTGCTGCACCTATCAACTCGTCATTTACATTAGGTATTTCTCCTAATGCTATCCCTCCCCCTGCCCCCCACCCCCCGACAGGCCCCAGTGTGTGATGTTCCCCACCCTGTGTCCAAGTGAGCTCATTGTTCAATTCCCACTTATGAGTGAGAACATGCGGTGTTTGGTTTTCTGTCCTTCTGATAGTTTGCTGAGAATGATGGCTTCCAGTTTCATCCATGTCCCTGCAAGGGACATGAACTCATCCTTTTTATGACTGCATAGTATTCCATGGTATATATGTGCCACATTTTCTTAATCCAGTCTATCATTGTTGGACATTTGGGTTGGTTCCAAGTCTTTGCTATTGTAAATAGTGCCACAATAAACATACATGTGCATGTGTGTTTATAGTAGCATGATTTATAATCCTTTGGGTATACACCCCGTAATGGGATTGCTGGGTGAAATGGTATTTCTAGTTCTAGATCCTTGAGGAATCGCCACACTGTCTTCCATAATGGTTGATCTAATTTACACTCCTACCAACAGTATAAAAGTGTTCCTATTTCTCCACATCCTCTCCAGCATCTGTCGTTTCCTGACTTTTTAGTGATTGCCATTCTAACTGGTGTGAGACGCTATCTCATTGTGGTTTTGATTTGCATTTCTCTGATGGCCAGTGATGATGAGCATTTTTTCATGTGTCTGTTGGCTGCACAGATGTCTTCTTTTGAGAAGTGTCTGTTCATATCCTTTGCCCACTTTTTGATGGGATTGTTTGTTTTTTTCTTGTAAATTTGTTTGAGTTCTTTGTAGATTCTGGATATTAGCCCTTTGTCAGATGGGTAGCTTGCAAAAATTTTCTCCCATTCGGTGGGTTGCTTCTTCACTCATGATAGTTTCTTTTGCTGTGCAGAAGCTCTTTAGTTTAATTAGATTCCATTTGTCTATTTTGGCTTTTGTTGCCATTGCTTTTGGTGTTTTAGTCATGAAATCCTTGCCCATGCCTATGTCCTGAATGGTATTGCCTAGGTTTTCTTCTAGGGTTTTTATGGTTTTAGGTCTAACATTTAAGTCCTTAATCCATCTTGAATTAATTTTTGTATAAGGTGTAAGGAAGGGATCCAGTTTCAGCTTTCCACATATGGCTAGCACTATATGTGTCCAGTTTTCCCAGCACCAATAATGGCTGTTTACTTAAGCCACTAAATTCATGGTCATCTATTTAATTTGCTACCCAGCATTAGAAAACAAATACAGGGCCAATATGTAAATTAAGCAGTACATACAAGGATTCACTATGAACAATAACAATCTTTCCAAACATGTTTTGTTTTTGCTGTTATCATTGTTTCCTTTAATACCAATTCCCTGTATCCCCTGGTTTTCAGTCTTCTTTTTTTTTGTTTTGTTTTGTTTTTTTTTGCTTTTGACACAGGAAGCATATTTAAGAAAGTTCCCTTTTGGTGATCCTCTTTATCTGAGAAAAGTTTGTTAGCCATCCTCTCAGAGAAGGTAGACAAAAAACTATCAAGTCTCCTGCAAGGCTCACTGTCCCTAGATCTATGTTCCTTGTCTGAAAGAAAGGCATGTATCTGAGATTTGTTCTGAAGGACTTTTATAGGCAGCCATTCCCTTTAGGATTTAGCGTTCTCTCATTTCTAATTCTCTGTAGATATGATCCATTCATCTGGCTGTAATTCCAGGTTGGCTCTGGGATTGCCTATGCCTCTGGTGCCTCATTTTGGAGCCTGTGGAATAGGAACATCAGGTTGCTTCATCATTATTTCTTCCCTTTGGCTCTCTGCATGCTCCTCCTTATTTGTGACTATATTACTCTGGAGACCTCATTCCAGACTCTTCACACAGTCAACTAGAAGAAACTAGAAGATAAATTAAAATCCTTGGTCTAATTTTGAGCTGAAAAACAGACTGGTCCTTCATCATGTATTTTTTTTCTGCACACCTCTCTCACTAGAAAAATACATCACATCTAAAAGGATGGATTTTAATCAAGAGAAAAAAACAAGAACTGTTCTTTCTCCCCCACCCTCCATACTTCTATTTTT